>NC_000023.11:79735269-80038299 GCF_000001405.40 Homo sapiens
CATACTATCCAAAGCAATCTATAGATTCAATGCAATCCCGATTAAAATACCAGGCACATTCTTCACAGAAATAGAAAAGGACATTTCTAAAATTTAAATGGAATTACAAAAGACCCAGAATAGTCAAAGCTATCCTAAGGGGGAAAATAAAGCTGAAGGAATTACATTACCTGACATCAAATTATTCTACTGAGCGATAGTAACTAAAAAGCATGGTACTGGCATAAAAAGAGACAAATAGACCAATGGAAAAGAATAGAGAACCATGAAACAAATCCACACACCTACAGTGAATTCATTTTTGAGAAAAGTGTAAAGAACATACACTGGGGAAAATATAGTCTCTTTGATAAATGGTGCCAGGAAAACTGAATATTTGTATGCAGAAGAATAAAGCTAGATGTTTGTCTCTCACCATATACAAAAATCAAATCAAAATGAATTAAAGACTTAAATGCAAGACCACAAACTATGAAACTACTACAAGAATACTTTGGAGAAACTCTTTCGGATGTTAGTTTGGGCAAAATATGTTTGAAAAATATCCCACGACCACAGGCAATGAAAGCAAAAATGAACAAATTGAATTACAAAAGTTAAAAAGTTTCTGCACAGCAACAGATACAATTTAAAAAGTGAAAAGACAACCTAAATAATGGGAGAAAATATTTGCAAACTAGTCATCTCACAAGGGATTGATTAATAACCAGAATATATGAGGAGCTCAAACAACTCTAAAAAAAATCTAACAGTCTGATTTTTTTAGAAAAGTGAGCAGAAGATTAAAATAGATATTTCTCAAAAGAAATAAAATGGTGCACAAGCAGTTGAAAAGGTGCTCAGTATCACTGATCATCAGAGAAATGCAAATCAAAACTACAATGAGATATTATCTCAACCTAGTTAAAATGACTTATATCCAAAAGACAGGCAATAGCAAATGCTGTCAAGGATGTGGAGAAAAGGAATCTCTCAAACACTGTTGGTGGGAATGTAAATTGGTACAACTGCTATGGAGAATAGTTTGGAGTTTCCTCAAAAAAGTAAAAGTCGAGCTTCCACATACTCCAGTAATTGCATTACTGGGTATATGCCCAAACAAATAAAATTATTATATTGAAGGGATATTTGCACTCTCATGTTTGTTGTAGCACTGTTTATAATAGTTAAGATTTTGGTAAGTTGCACGACGAAGTGGTTCAAATGCCCATGGTCCCCATTCCTGCCACTCTGCCTTCTCTCCCTGAGTTTGCACCCATGGCCTCATGGGGAGTTCCCTATGATCAGTTGACAAAGAAAGGGAAGACAAGGGCCTGGTTTACAGATGGCTTTGCATGATATGCAGGCACCACCCAAAAGTGGACAGCTGCAGCACTACAGCCCCTTTCTATAACATCCCTGAAAAACAGTGGCAAAGGGAAATCTTTCCAGTGGGCAGAGCATTGAGCAGTGCACATGGTTACACAGCTTGGAAGGAGAAAAGGCCAGATGTGTGATTATATACTGATTAATGGGCTGCAGCCAATGGTTTGGCTAAATGATCAGGGACTTGGAAGAAGCATGACTGGAAAATTAGTGACAAATAAGTTTGGGGAGGAGGTACCTGGATGGATGTCTCTGAGTGGTCAAAACACTGATAAGATATTTGTATTTGAGTGCTCACCAAAGGATGACATCAGCAGAGAAGTATTTTAATAATCAAGTGCATAGAATGACTTGTTCTGTGGACACCACACAGCCTCTTTCCCCAACAACTCCTCTCATCGCCCAATAGGCTCATGAACAAAATGTCCATGGTGGTAGTGATGGAAGTTATGCATGGGCTCAGCAACATGGACTTCCACTCACTAAGAGTGACCTGGCTATGGCCACTGCTGAGTGCCAGATTTGCCAGCCACAGAGACCAACACTGAGCCCTCCATATGGCACCATTCCTCCAGGTGATCAGCAAGCTACTTGGTGGCAGGATGATTATGTTGGACATCTTCCATCAGGGAAGGAGCATCAGCTTGTCCTCACCAGAATAGACACTTACTCTGGATATGGGTTTCCCTATTCTGCAGGCAATGCTTCTGACAAGGGTACCATCTGTGGACTCATGGAATGCCTTATCCATCATCATCATATTCCACATAGCATTGCCTCTGACCAAGGCACTCACTTTATGGCTAAAGAAGTGAAGCAGTGGGCTTGCACTCATGGATTTCACTGGTTTTACCATGTTCCCCATCACCCTGTAGCAGCTGGTTTGATAGAATGGTGGAATGGCCTTTTGAAGTCACAATTACAATGCCAACTAGGTGACAGTACTTTGTAGGGATAGGGCAAAGTTCCCCAGAAGGCTGTGTATGCTCTGAATCAACATCCAATATATCACCATTTCTCCCACAGCCAGAATTCACTGGTCCAGGAATCAACGGGTGGAAGTGGAAGGGTCACCACTCACCATCACCCCCACTTTTGGTTCCTGTTCCCACGACATTAGGTTCTGCTGGTCTAGAGGTCTTAGTTCCAGAGGGAGGAATGCTGCCACAGGAGACACAACAACGTTTCCATTAAACTGGAAGTTAAGGTTGCCACCTGGACACTTTGGGCTCCTCCTACCTCTAAGTCAACAGGCTAAGAAGGGAGTTACAGTGTTGACTGGAGTGATTGACCCAGACTATCAAGATGAAATCAGTCTGCTACTCCACAATGGAGGTAAGGAAGAGTATGCGTGGGATAGAGGAGATCACTTAGGGTGTCTCTTATTATTATCATGCCCTGTGATTAAGGTAAATGGGAAACTACAACAACCCAATCTAGGCAGGACTACAAATGGCCCAGACTCTTAAAAAATAAAAGTTTTGGTTATGCCACCAGGTTAAAAACCACGATCTGCTGAGGTGTTTGCTGAAGGCAAAGGGATTACAGAATGGGTAGTAGAAGAAGGCAGTCATCAATTCCAGCTAAGACCACGTGACCAGTTGCAGAAAGGAGGACTGTAATTGTCATGAGTATTTCCTCCTTATTTTGTTAAGAACATGTTTGTGCATGTATACACTTGCACTAAGAAAAATCTTCATTTTTTTCTTTTTCCTTTATCATGTGACATAAGATTTATTGACTTCATATCAGCTTTTAAGTGTTGTTAACTTTATGTAATCGCATTAAGGTTAAGGATTAGTGTGCTTCCACTTGCACAAAGGATAGCTGTATTTTGTTAGGCATAATTATGTTCTAATTATTTTCTTTATTTGAAGTTTATGTATGATTTCAGGTGATGTGTACAGCTTCAAGTTGACAAGGGGTGGACTTGTGATGGTTAATATTGAGTGTCAACTTGGTTGGATTGAAGGATGCAAAGTATTCTTCCTGGCTGTGTCTGTGAAGGTGTTGCCAAAGGAGATTAACATTTAAGTCAGTGGACTGTGAGAGGCAGATCCACACTCAATCTGGGCGGGCATCATCTAATCAGCTGCCAGCATAAAAACAGGCATGGAAAGAACAGACTTGCTGAGTCTTCTGGCCTTTTTATTTCTCCTATGCAGGATGCTTCCTTCCCTTGAACATCAGACTCAGTTCTTCAGCTTTTGGACTCTTGGACTTAACACCTGTGATTTGCCAGGGGCTCTCGGGCCTTTGGCTACAGACTGAAGGCTGCACTATCGGTTTCCCTACTTTCGAGGTTTTGGGACTCGGACTTGCTTCCTTGCTCCTAGCTTGCAGACAGGCTATCGTGTGTCTTCACCTTGTGATCGTGTGAGTCAATTCTCCTAATAAACTCCCCTTCACATATTCATCTACCCTATTAGTTCTATCCCTTTAGAGAACCCTGACTAATACACATAACCCTAGACAAATACTTGAAGGGATTGAGAATCCTGTTTTCCTGGATGTCACTTTCCAGATAAGAGCTGTGTGGTAAAAGGGAACATTTTGTGGCCTAAATGTCACAGACTCTCATTGTTCTTACAAAGCTTTAGTAGATTTATTTAACTAACTGTTTCTCCACTTACTGTATATGGTTAAGACAATTTACAGAAACTTTAAATTACTTGTTTGGTTTTTAAAATGATTTTACGAGTTTTGATTGTTTCTCTGGAGAGAGGATCCATACAGGTCGTTAAGCCATTGTTTTTGAAGTACTTCTAAAAACCTTTTACAGATGATCATTTAGGTACAATTGGAAAAAATTTTCATTACTTAAGCAAATATTTATTGAGTGCCCACTAAGTACCAGGCACTGTTTTAGGCACTGGAGATTGAGCATAGAAAGACAGACAAGGCTCCTAGTGGAGCTTACATTACAAGAAGGGAGAACAATAAATAAGTAAACCAATAATTACTGTTATTTTCCATAATGTTTTACCAATTCCTATCTATTGTCAACTAACTCTAATAATAGCAATGCTTATTGAGTGCCAGAGACATCTTTATGTATTCTTCTTAATCTTCTGGACAACTCCTTGAACTGGATATTATTATCAATATTTTTTATCTACATTTTACCAGTGAGGGGACAGAGAAATAGGGTAATAAGGACAGGAACTGTATCTTACTCAGTTTTGTGTCTCCAGAATCTAACATGTCATCAGGCACACAGTAAAGCATTAAACACATTTATAAAATGAAAATAAAGTAATGCATTAGTATAATAAGCTAATAATGGGCCCCCAAATATGTTTATGTCCTAATCCCCAGAACTTATAAATATGTTAGATTACATGGAAAAGGAAAATTATAGTTGCAGATAGAATTGAGATTGCTAATCAGCTGACCTTAAGATAGGGATATTATCCTAGATTACCTGAGACGGTCCAATGTGCTCACAGGTCAAAAATAAAAGATATAGCAAGAGAGATGGCAGTGTGAGAAAGACTAAACTCGCCATTGTTAGGTTTAAGGGTGGAGGAAGGGACCAAGGAGCCGAGAAATGTAGAAAGCCTCTGAAGTCTGAAAAAGACAAGAAATGGTTTAGTCCGGAGAGCCTTTAGAAATAAATTCAGTCTTTTCAGTCTTTTTGACATCTTGCTTTTAGCCCTATGAGCCCTGTATCGAACTTCAGAACAGTAAGATAATAAAATTGTGCTTTCTTAAACAATTTTGTGGTAATTTGTCATAGCAGCAATAAGAAACTGTACGGTTAGTGTCAGAATTCAAATTCACACCTTTGTAACTCAAAAGTCCATACTTTTTACATAATTTTGTCTTCAATATGATGGACAGAGCATCTTTAAAGTGTGTTTTATAACTCACGCCATTTCACTAGCAGTAGAGTAAAAAAAATTCGCTGACGTTTCAGACCATCATCCAATCAAAATCTCCATTCGATAAAAGTTTTTCTTCTCTAGAAAGAGTAGCCTTTTTTCATTTAACACTACTAACTAGTAACAAGGTCAACTTTCCGTCATATTCCTGTTTCAGTGTCTTAATCTTACCCTGATTTATGGCCCTTTTACATATGTGTTCCAAATTCATTGACCTCTACTGCAGTATCTGGGTATTTCCACCTGAAGCCTCACATTCTTTACCTTATTTCTTGATATTTAGAGTCTCAAATTTATATACATAGTTATGTTGTAGATTTCAAAATGCTTTTTAATTTTTAGCACTGTTCTCAAAATCTATCCTCTTTCCAGGTGTAAATATAAATTCATTGCTTTTAATGGTTTTCTAATAGCTTATTTTCTACCTAAATTAACTGACCTGCAAAAGCTGATCACAAAGGATTAGGAAACAGTTTATCTTAATCTAAGTGCTTACACCTCCTGTATTTTGTTTAATTTGGCTGTCAGTTCAGTTATATTAACCTTCTCAATTTCTTCCATGAAACATTTTAGATGCATTGGTTTACCTTGTCAAGCTATAGCCCTCTCTTCCATTATTATTCAATCTCTACAAGAAAAGCTACAATCCACTGGTATTCTGTCCTGCCACTTTTACATCTTTACTGTTCTGGCAAAGCCTATGCTCTTAAAGACAACAAGAACTGACAGTAGCCAGTAACATATGTTGGATAGATGGAACAAGAAATTTTTTACTCATAATTTAAGGTCCTTTTCTGCTAGCAGATATTTTTCTTACAGATGTACTAAGCATTCCTTCAGGACTACACATTTTTGACTACTGCCTCAATATTTACCCTAAAAAGCATGTAGTTAGCCTGTTTCCTTTGCCTTTCTCTATAAAGTATACATTTAAAAAGTAATTTTAACTGCTTTTATCTAAAAATTTTAAGAATGTTTCTACTATCCAGCAGATATTTTATAACAATCATGCCACAGAGCCCCTTATATCTTTGTTATGATCAAGTATTGCTCTTCGCCTGTGTATATAATCTTTTAAAATAATTTTCTAAAACCTTAATTCGTTTGAAATGAATATGCTGGTGCTGTGATATCTTTTATTAAAGATATCTCACTGGAATAATAGTGAGTTAATCATTACTGCAAATACATCTCTACTTATTATACACCCAGGAGAAAACAATCAGTTTTGAAATATGACATTTTTTCTATTTTATTTAACCTTTTTCTCCTTTCCATTCACTTTAATAGATATGCTTCCCTGCCTCAGAGAGACTTATCGTAGGGCAGAAACAAGTTGCCAGAGAGGCAGCTTCCTTCTTGCCCTGTACAATTAGAGGAAGAAAATATCTGTGAAATAAACAAGTAGAGAAAGAGATTTTTCTCTATGCTGAAAGAGACATTTCTGAAGGCTTGGATCAAGCCATGCACTTTAATAAAGCTGTGCCTCTAGAAAGTGGGCCTATCTGAGGTGTGTCTATGAAGGTAGGATCTCAGGCATCAGAGTTCAGACCTTAGCAAAAATTCCATGTCTTATACTAGACATTGAATCACAGAGAAGATGGATTTCAAAGTCCCAGTAAGAGGATTAGCAGTAACCATGGTAAACTAGAAACTAATTGGCCCTTCCCCATTTTTGAATCTGAAAGCCAAATACGTTTCTTAAATTCTAATGTAGTCATGAAAGTGAAGAAGCCACCAAAACTGATAAAAATTGGATTTTCCATCAGTCTTGAGGGATAGAGATTTAAGTCAGAATTTGGCTGATTAAAAGGTAATCAAGATCATTTTTCTCATGCAAGTTTGTAAACTAAGATTCATAGCCACTGTATCTAGATATAGCCTTTGTTTCCCAGACTGGAGTGCAATGGCACAATCATGGCTTATTGTAATTTTGACCTCCTGGGGTTAAGCAATCCTTCCATCTTAGCCTCCTGAGTAACTGAGACTACAGGTGCACACCACCATGCCCAGCCATTTTTTAAAATTTTTTGTAAAGATAGGAACTCATTATGTTGCCCAGGCTGGTCTTGAACTCCTGACCCCAAGCAATCCTCCCACTTTGGCCTCCCAAAACGCTGCAATTACTGTTACTGGTCATCATGCCCAGTCTATTTTTTTCTCTTGATCTAAAATAAGTATTTTATAGACAGCATATAATTGACTTTTTTATCAAATATGTGAATCTCTTTTTCTCTAATCCATATATATTTTGTTTTTTTTTTGTTGTTGTTGTTGTATGTTTTATGTCTTTTTTGTTTTTTCCTTTTCTCTCTTACTGGATTATTTTGTGTTAATTATTTACAAGGGTATCATTTTAATTCTCTTGTAGCTTATTTTACTTTTTGTTATCTTATTGCTTGCCTTTGAGATTACAAATAATGTTTTATTTTATAACAATCTATTTCATGTTTATACCAATATTTAACTTAAATATTATACAACTTTGCTTCTATATATTTTGTTCTGTCCTCCACATTTGTGCTGTATTGTCATAAAATGTTACTTTTTTTAAATTTATTTTGTATTATTATACTTTAAGGTTTAGGGTACATGTGCACAATGTGCAGGTTAGTTACATACATATACATGTGCCATGCTGGTGTGCTGCACCCACTAACTCGTCATCTAGCATTAGGTATATCTCCCAATGCTATCCCTCTCCACTCCCCCCACCCCACAACAGTCCCCAGAGTGTGATATTCCCCTTCCTGTGTCCATGTGATCTCATTGTTCAATTCCCACCTATGAGTGAGAATATGCGGTGTTTGGTTTTTTGTTCTTGTGATAGTTTACTGAGAATGATGGTTTCCAATTTCATCCATGTCCCTACAAAGGACATGAACTCATCATTTTTTATGGCTGCATAGTATTCCATGGTGTATATGTGCCACATTTTCTTAATCCAGTCTATCATTGTTGAACATTTGGGTTGGTTCCAAGTCTTTGCTATTGTGAATAATGCCACAATAAACATACGTGTGCATGTGTCTTTATAGCAGCATGATTTATAGTCCTTTGGGTATATACCCAGTAATGGGATGGCTGGGTCAAATGGTATTTCTAGTTCTAGATCCCTGAGGAATCGCCACACTGACTTCCACAATGGTTGAACTAGTTTACAGTCCCACCAACAGTGTAAAAGTGTTCCTATTTCTCCACATCCTCTCCAGCACCTGTTGTTTCCTGACTTTTTAATGATTGCCATTCTAACTGGTGTGAGATGGTATCTCATTGTGGTTTTGATTTGCATTTCTCTGATGGCCAGTGATGGTGAGCATTTTTTCATGTGTTTTTTGGCTACATAAATGTCTTCTTTTGAGAAGTGTCTGTTCATGTCCTTCGCCCACTTTTTGATGGGGTTGTTTGTTTTTTTCTTGTAAATTTGTTTGAGTTCATTGTAGATTCTGGATATTAGCCCTTTGTCAGATGAGTAGGTTGCAAAAATTTTCTCCCAAATCTCCTTAAGCTGATAAGCAACTTCAGCAAAGTCTCAGGATACAAAATCAATGAACAAAAATCACAAGCATTCCTATACACCAACAACAGACAAACAGAGAGCCAAATCATGAGTGAACTCCCATTCACAATTGCTTCAAAGAGAATAAAATACCTAGGAATCCAACTTACAAGGGATGTGAAGGACCTCTTCAAGGAGAACTAAAAACCACTGCTCAAGGAAATAAAAGAGGATACAAACACATGGAAGAACATTCCATGCTCATGGGTAGGAAGAATCAATATCGTGAAAATGGCCATACTGTCCAAGGTAATTTACAGATTCAATGCCATCCCCATCAAGCTACCAATGACTTTCTTCACAGAATTGGAAAAAACTACTTTAAAGTTCATATGGAACCAAAAAAGAGCCTGCATCGCCAAGTCAATCCTAAGCCAAAAGAACAAAGCTGGAGGCATCACACTACCTGACTTCAAACTATACTACAAGGCTACAGTAACCAAAACAACATGGTACTGGTACCAAAACAGAGATATAGATCAATGGAACAGAACAGAGCCCTCAGAAATAACACCGCATATCTACAACTATCTGATCTTTGACAAACCTGAGAAAAACAAGCAATGGGTAAAGGATTCCCTATTTAATAAATGGTGCTGGGAAAACTGACTAGCCATATGTAGAAAGCTGAAACTGGATCCCTTCCTTACACCTTATACAAAAATCAATTCAAGATGGATTAAAGACTTAAACGTTAGACCTAAAACCATAAAAACCCTAGAAGAAAACCTAGGCATTACCATTCAGGACATAGGCATGGGCAAGGACTTCATGTCTAAAACACCAAAAGCAATGGCAACAAAAGCCAAAATTGACAAATGGGATCTAATTAAACTAAAGAGCTTCTGCACAGCAAAAGAAACTACCATCAGAATGAACAGGCAAAATGTTACTTTTATACATTGCATGCTATCAACAGAGATCTCTAATTATTGCTTTTGCAGTTGTCTTTAAAATTTGATGGGAGAAAAAAGTTTACCGATAATAAATACATATGTGTTGTCTTTTATATTTAACTTTGTAGTTAATTTTACATATGCTATTTGTCTTCTAATATGGATTTTTTTAGTTACTGTGTTGGGCTATTTTATTTAGTCCTAAGAGATTTCTTTTAATTTATTTTGGCAGATCTACTATTGGCTAATTCTTTGATTTTCTTTTTATTTGAGAATAATGTGTCTCAGTGTGGATGTCTGTATTTATTCTACTTGGATTTTGTTGAGCTTTCTATATATGTAGATTTGTGTTTTTCATAAAATTCAGAAAGTTTCAGCCAACATTTTTTCAAAAATTCTTCGTACCTCTTTTCCCCCTATGTCTGCCACTGCTACTCCCATTATACGTTTTACAAAATTTCAACTTTTATTTTAGATACAGGGATATATTTGCAGGTTTGTTATCTGAGTATATCGCACCCAGGTACATAGTACCAAATACATAGTTTTTCCACTCACAGTCCCTCCCTTTTCACTCCGTAGTGTCTATTGTTCCCATTTTGTGTTCATGTGCGATCAATATTTAGTTCTCACTTATAAGTGAGAACATGCAGCGTTTGATTTTCTGTTCCTGAATTAATTTTCTTAAGATTATGGCCTCCAGTTTAATGTATGTTGCTGAAAAGAAAATAATTTTATTCTTTCTTATGGCTGCATAGTATTGCATGGTGTATATGTACCATATTTTCTTTATTCAATCCACCATTGATGTGTACATAGATTGATTGTATGTCTCAGGTATTTTTAATAGAATGGTAATAAACATGACTGCAGGTATTTTTTGGTATTATGATCTATTTTTCCTTTATTATATACCCAGTCATGGGATTGCTGAATCAAATTGTAGCTCTGTTTTAAGTTTTTAAAGAAATTTTCAAACTGCTTTCAATGGTGGTTGAACTAATTCACATTCCTATTAACAGTGTATAAGCTTTCCCCTTTCCCTGCAACATTTCTGGCATCTGTTGCCTTTGACTTTATAATAATAGCCATCTGACTTGTATGAGATGGTATCTCTTTGTAGTTTTGATTTGCATTTCTCTGATGATTAGTTATGATAAGCATTTTTTTCCTCCATTATACATGTTTTTGTATGCTTGATGTTGTCCCACAACTCTCTTAGTCTCTGTTCATTCTTTGTTTTTTCTTCCTGTCCCTCACATGAGATAATCTCACTTAACCTGTCTTCAAGTTTGAAGATTCTTATTTCAGCTTGATCAAATATGTTGATCTCCTTTAGTGAATTTTTAATTTCAGTTATTGTACAACTCCAGATTTTCTACTTGAATTTTTTGTTTAATTTTTATTTTTAATGATCTTCTCTATAGGGAGACATCATTCTCATAATTTCCTTTTGCTGTTCAACTTCTTTTAATTTATGATTTCCTTTAGTTCTTTAAAAATCTTTAAAGTTTCTGATTTGTCTTTGTCTTGTAAGTCAAAAGTCTGCTCTTCTCCAGAGACAGATTCTAGTGTGTGTTTGTTGGATTTTTCAATGTAAAGGCCACACAATCATATTTCTTTGCATGTGGTATTTTTTTTAAAACTAGGCATTTAAAATAATATATTGTGGCAACTCTGGAAATCAGGATTTTCTGCTTCCTAGAATTTGTTGTTGCTGTTTATTGTTTTGTTTGTTTGTTGAGTAAGTTTTCTGAAATATTTCCATAAAGAATATATTCTATGTTGTTTATAGTAACTGATATTTCTCTCAGTTAGTTTATTGGTCAGCTAATGGTTGAGCAGAGATTTCTTCAATTACCTAGAACCAATATGTTTCCCTGTCCTTGCATAAAGTCTCTGTGTTATTGTTTGGAAATATCTTCAACACTCAGCTAAGCTGTTTATTATCATGCCTTAGCCTTGACTTCTTGCTTTCATCAGCCTCGGTTCATCCAGAGTTGAGAACTGAGGGTTATTTGGGTCTTTGCTGAATATGCATACCAGCATGGTCATGCACACAAATACCTGTGTGTGGCTGTCTAGATTCAAGAAATATGTCAGAGCTTTTCAAAACTTATTGTAGACATCTAATTTGCCAGCTATTGCTTCTAAACTTTTAGGTTAGCTTATCTGTGCCCCAGTTGGGTACATTATCTTACAGAGCCATGAACAGAGATTATTTTTATAAAAAAACAAACACTCTGCACTCTGGAGAGTCCTGCAAGTTTTGGTTAATTTCTGGAGTTTCATAAAACTTTATTCTGTCACTTTTTGTCAGTTTTCTCATTGTTTTATGGAGGAGAGAATTTTGGAGTTTCCCATTCTATTTTTGCTGACATTATTCTCCTGTTCTCTGCAAGGGAATAATATCACTTTTGAAACATCTAATGTTAGCATAAGATTGGTTTCTAGAAAAGATTGAATTAAAAAATTGTGGTTGAACTTAAGGAAATTCAAATTATTAGCTGAAGTCAGGTAATGTGATTCCTCAAGCTTTCTTCTTTTTGGTTAAGATAGCTTTTGCTATTCTGGTATATTTTGTGGTATATATATGGATTTTTTTCCCTATTGCTGCTAAGTCATTGGTATTTTGATAAGAGATTGCATTAAATCTGTAGATTTATTTGGGTAGTATGGATATTTTAACAATATCAGTTCTTCCCATTCATGAACATGGAATGTTTTTCCATTTCTTTGTGTCTTCTTCAATTTTTTTGCATCAATGCTTTATATTTTTTATTGTAGAAATCTTTCACGTCTTTGATTTAGTTAACTGCTATGTATTTAATTGCATTTGTAGCTATTGCAAATGGGATTAGTTTTGTGATTCCCTTTTCAGATTGTTTGCTTTTGGCATATAGAAATGGTACTGATTTCTGATGTTGATTTTGTATCATGCAAATTTACTGAATCCATTTGTAATTTTTAATAGTTTTTGATGGAATCATTAGGGTTTTTTAAAAATATATAAGATCATGTCATCTGCAAATAAGTATAATTTTAATTCATACTTTTCAATTTAAATGCCCTTAATTTCTTTCTCTTGTCTGATTGCTCCAGCTAGTACTATGTTGAATAACAGTGGAAAAAGTGGGCATCCTTGTCCATTCAAGATCTCAGAAGAAAAGGTTTTCAATTTCTTCCCATTAAGTATAAAACTAGCTGTGGATTTATCATATATGGCTTTTCAAATGTTGTGGTATGTTCCAAGTTTTCTGAGCGTTTTTATTGTGAAGGGATGTTGAATTATTTCAAATGCTTTCTCAGCATCAATTGAAATAATCACACAGTGTTTGCCCTTCATTCTGTTGATATGTTGTATTACATTAATTCATTTGCATATATTGAACCATCCTTGCATCACTGGGATAAATATCACTTGGTCATGATGAATGATATTTTCTATCCATTATTGAAATGGTTTGCTATTGAATTTGGTTTGCTAGAATTTGTTGAGAATTTTTATATCAATATTCATTAGTTATATTAACCCATAGTTTTCTTTTTATGATCTGTCTCAGTCTGATTTTCTCATTAGGGTAATATTGGCCTTGTAGAATAAATTTAGAAGTATTCCCTACTCCTCTATTTCTCAGAATAGTTTGAGTGGAATTGGTATTATTTATTCATTAAGTGTTTGGTAGAATTCAGCAGGGAAGCCAATGGGTCCCGGGTTTTCTTAACTTGGAGAATTTTTATTATGGTTTTCATCCCATTAGTTAGTATGTGTCTTTTCAGGATTTGGATTTCTTCATAATTTAATCCTGGTAGGTTGTATGTGTCTAGAAATTTACCCATTTTTTTCTAGAGTCTCCAATTTATTTGCATGTAGTTACTCATAGTAACCAATAATAATATTTTGAATTTCTATTTTATTGGTTGCAATATCTATGTTTTCACCTCTTATTTAATTTATTTCAGGCTTCTCTCTGTTTTCTTAGTCTGGCTAATAATGTTTTGTCAATTTTGTTTATCTTTCTGAAAAACAAACTTTTTGTTTCATTGACCATTTTTATTGCTTTCTTCATTTTAATTTAATTTATTTATGCTATGATCTTTATTATTTAGTTTCTTCTACAAATGTTGGGTCTAGTTTGCTCCTACTTTTCTGGTTAAGATGAATCATTTCATTGTTTATTTGAAGTTTTTCTTCTCTCCTGATATAGGCTTATAGCTGTAAACTTCCCTCTTAATACTTTTTTTTTTGCCTTATCCCGTATGTTTTGTCATGTTGCATTTCTGTTATCAGCTGTTTCAAGAATTTTTAAAATTTTCTTCTTAATTTCTTTATTTACCCACTGATCATTCAGGAGCATATTGTTTAATTTCCATGTGATTTTATAGTTTCTAAAATTCCTCTTGTTATGGATTTCTTGTTTTATTCCATTGTAGTCAGAGAAGATGTTTGATATTATTTCAATTTTTGAATATTTTAAGATTTGTTTGGTGACCTAATATCTGGTCTATTTTTGAGAATGACCCATGTTCTCAGGAGTAAAATATACATTCTATAGCAGTTGGATAAAATGTTCTGTAAATATCTATTAGGTTTATTTGGTTTATAGAGCAGATTAAGTCTGATGTTTTCTTGTTAAGTTCCTGTGTGGAAGTTCTCCCCAATGCTGAAATTGGGTTCTTAAAATGTCTAGCTATTATTGTATTATGGTCTGTTTCTCTCTTCAGCTACAATAATTGCTTTATATGTGTAGGTGCTCCAGTGTGGGGTGCATATATATTTACAATTGTTAAATGCTCTTGCCTAATGGACCCTGCCGAGACCAGCTCAGTCTTGGAGACCCTAATCCAGTGGTGCTAGAGGAATTAAACACACACACAGAAATATAAAGCGTGGAGTGGGAAATCAGGGGACTCACAGCCTTCAGAGATGACAGCCCTGAACAGAGATTTACCCACATATTTATTGACATCAAGCCAGTGATGAGCATTGTTTCTACAGATTATAGATTAACTAAAAGTATTCCTTACAGGAAACAAAGGAATGGGCTGAAACAAAGGGATGGGCTCTAGCTAGTTATCTGCAGCAGGAACATGTCCTTAAGGCACAGATCGCTCATGCCATTGTTTGTGGTTTAGGAGCGCCTTTAAGCGATTTTCCACACTGGGTGGGCCAGGTGTTCCTTGCCCTCATTCCAGTAAACCCACAACCTTCAGTGTGGGCGTCATGGCCATCATGAACATGTCACAGTGCTACAGAGATTTTGTTTATAGCCAGGTTCGGGGACAGTTTATGGCCAGATTTGGGGGCCTGTTCCCAACAGGCCCCTTTATCATTATATAGTAACCTTCTTCGTCACTTCTTACAGTTATTTTTTTCTTTGAATCTATTATGTCTTTTGTAATTATAACTACTACTGCTGCTCTTTTTGGTTTCCATTGACATGGAATATCTTTGTCCATCCCTTTGTTTTCAGTCTATGTGTGGCTTTGTAGGTGATATGCATTTCCTGTAGGCAACAGATCATTGGGTCTTTTTCTTTATCCATCTAATCACTCTATGTGTTTTGATTGGAGAGTTTAGTCCATTTACATTCAATATTATTATTGATAAGTACAGACTTACACCCAACATTTTATTATTTGTTTTCTGGTTGTTTCGTGGTCTACTCTTCCTTCTTTCTTTCCTTATTTTTTCTTTTAGTAAAGATTATTCTCTGTAGTGGTATATTTTAATTACTTTCCTTTTATTTTTTGTGTATTTTTTGAATGTTTTTTGATTTGAGGTTGAAATGAGGCTTACAAATACTATTGAATAGCCCATCATTTTAAACTGATTGCATAAACAAACAAATAAACAAAGAGAAATCTAATAAAGTCCGTATATTTTAATTCCATTCCCCCAGGTTTTTATTTGTTGTTGTTTCTATTTGTATCTTATTGTACAGTTTATGTCTTGAAAAGTTGTTGTATTTATTATTCTTGATTCATTTATCTTTTAGTCTTTCTACTTAAGATGAGTAGTTTATACATCCCAAGCATAGTGTCATGATAATCTGTGTTTTTCTCTGTACTTACTATTTTCAGTAAGTTTTGGAACTTCAAATGTTTTCTTGTCGTTCACTAACAATCTTTCCTTTCAGATTGAATATCTCCCATTAGAATTTCTTGTAGAGGGCCAGGCATGGTGGCTCTCACCTGTAATCCCAGCAGTTTGGGAGGCCAAGGTGTGTAGATCATGAGGTCAGGAGGTCGAGACCAACCTGGCCAACATAGTGAAAGCCCACCTCTACTAAAAATACAAAAAATTAGCCAGGCATGGTGGCAGGAACCTGTAATCCCAGCTACTCAGGAGTCTGAGGCAGGAGAATTGCTTGAACCCAGGAGGCAGAGGTTGCAGTGAGCTGAAATCACACCATTGCACTCTAGCCTTGGTGACAGTGCAAGATTCCATCTCAAAAAAAAAAATATTCTTGTAGGGCAGGTCTGATGAAATCCCCCAGCTTTTGTTGGTCTGGAAAAGTCTTTATTCCTCCTTCATGTTCAAATAATATTCTCAACAAGTATAGTATTTTAAGATAAAAGTTTCTTTTTCTTCAACACTTTAAATGTGATGTGCCACTGTCACCTGGCCTTTAAGGTTTCCATTGGGAAGTCTACTGTCAGAAGTATTGGCACTCCATTGTATGTCATTTGTTTCTTTTCTCTTGCTTCTTGGGAGTTTGATTATTAAATGAATTAAGGTAGTCTACATTGGGTTAAATCTGCTGGTGTTCTATAAGCTTCTTGTACTTGAATATTAATTATTTTCCCTAGGTTTGAGAAGTTTTCTTCTAAAATTCTTTTGAATAAATGTTCTACACCTATCTCTTTCTCTCCCTCTTATTTAGGGCCAATAACTCTGAGATTTGCCCTTTTGAGGCCATTTTCTACATCTTATAGAAATGCTTACTTCTCTTTACTTTTTTTGTCTCCTCTTTGTATTTTCTAATAGCCTCTCTTCAAGCTCACTAATTCTTTCTTCTGCTTGATAAATTCTGCTACTGAGTTACCCAGATGCATTTGTCAGTATGTCAATTGCATTTTTACTCCAGAATTTCTGTTTGATTCTTTTTAATTGATTTCTTTGTCAAATTTATCTGATAGAATATTGAATTCCTTCTCTGTGTAGTCTTGAATTTATTGTTGTTTCCTCAAAAGAATTATTCTGAATTCTTTGTCTACAAGGTCACATATGTCTGTCTCTCCAGGATTTCTCCTTAGTGCCTTATTTAGTTTGTTTTTGATGCTATGTTTTTCTGTGTGGTCGTGATGTTTGTAGATGTTTGCTAGGATTTGAACATTCACTGAAAATTAGTTATTTATTGTAGTCTTTGCAGTCTGGGCTTGTTTGCACCTGTGCTTCTTGGAAGGGCTTTTCAGGTACTCAAAGGTACTTGCATGTTGTAATCTGAGTTATATCTATATCATGGAGCAACTTAAGCTCAGTAATGCTGTGATTCTTACAGACTCATAGAGGTACCTCATTTGACATCTTTTGTGATATCTGGAAAAATTCTCTGGATCACCATTTGAAAGCTCTTGCTCTTTTCCATTACTTCTTTCCGAACATACAGATTATCTTTGTGTTGAGCCACTTAGAGCTGGGGGAGGGGTGACACAAGCCCCCCTGTAGCCAACAATACTAGGACTGCAGTGTATCAGACCTGAAGTCAGTACATCATGGGGTGTTGCTCAAGGCCCACTGTAACCACTTTGTGGCTACCGCATATGTTTGCTCAAGGCCCTAGGGCTCTACTATTAAGAAGTGCTGAAGCCAGCCAGTCTTAATGTTCTTCCCTTCAGGGCTGTGGGTTCCTCCAGGCCTCATGCAGGTTCAGAGGTGCCATCCTGAAGCCAGGGACTAGAGTCAAAAACCTAGAAATCTACCTGGTTCTCTCTTTAACTGCAGCTAAACTGGCACTCAAATTACAAAATAAAGTATTTTCCATTCTTACTTCTCCTTTCCATAGGCAGAGAATCCTCTCCCCATGGCCACCACCAGCATAGGCCCAAGAGAGTATTGCTAGGCTGATGCTGATGTTCACTTAAGGCCTAAGGGCTTTTCAGTCAGCTTGTGTTGAATGTTGCCAGGCCTGAGACTCACACTATAGGACAGTGGGTTGCCCTCTCACCCAGGGAAGGTCTGTAAATACTCTTCAAGAGTCAAGGTCTGGAATCAATGCCCCCAAGAGCCTTCTTGGTGCTCTACCCACTCTTGCAAAGTTGGTACTTGAGGCGCAATACTAAGCTCCCATTACTGTTCCTTCTGCTGTTCTAAAGCAGAAGGAGTATCTCGCCATAGCCAACTTAGCTGTGAATGCACTGGCTCTTACATGAAGCCAGCATGTCTCAGAGTCTCACCCAAGGCCCAGGGTATACCACCTGGATATTTCTGCTGGATACTCAGGGCCCAAGCACCCTTTATTAAGCAGATGATGAATTCTGTCAGGATTGGCCCTTCCCTTCAAGACAGTATATTCTCTTCTGGCCCAGGGTGTTTCTATTATAGAAATGTCATCTTGGAGCTAGTGCCTGGAAAACAGGCCTCACAGGCTGTCCAGTGTCCTATCCTGCTGTAGCTGAGCTGGTATGTTACTTGCAAGAAAAAGACCATTTTATTTATTACTCTCATAACCTCAAGTGGAAGAAATGAGTCTTTTTTTTTTTTGCTTTGTGCGGTACTGCCTGGAATTAAGACAGGGGTGGTTCAAGCAATTCTTTGGCCTCCATGTCTCACTAGGTCATGTGCCCCCTAAGTCCACTAGCTCTGAGCACAGCTCAGCACCAAGGCATGCCTAGGATTTGTAGTCCTTGTGGCCCAGACTGCCTTTAAGGTTTATTTAGATCCCCAAAACACTTTAGCCCATGATGGTGAGGTTTGTTGAAACTCAATCATGACTCATGGGATGGGCAATTCGCTCTTTGCAAGGGTTCATCTAAATGATGTCTCCATGAGTATCAACTTAGTCCAGCCCAGTTTTTCTTTCTGCCATGATAGGTGTATTAGTCTATTTTCATGACACTGATAAAGATATACCTGAGACTGGGCCATTTACAAAAGAAAGAGTTTTAATGGACTCACAGTTTCACGTGGCTGGGGAGGCCTCACAGTCATGGTGGAAGGTAAAAGGCACATCTTGCATGGCAGTAGACAAGAGAAAAAGCTTGGGAGGGAAACTCTTATTTATAAAACCATCAGATCTCATGAGACTTATCCACTATCACAAGAAGAGCATGGGAAAGAACCACATCCGTTATTTAATTACCTCCCACCAGATCCCTCACATGACATGGGAATTTTGGCAGCTACAATTAAAAATGAAATTTGGGTGGGGTCACAGCAAAACCATATCAGCAGAGCAACATTGAGTTTCAGATTTCGTCTCCACTTCTCATGGCCACTGCCAGAGCATGGGAGAGAGATGGTGTTGGCATTTCATGATGGCCTTTTTCTACCCTCTTCAGTGCCTATCTTAGTGATATGAAGTTAAAATCAGGTACTGTGATGGCTCACCTGATTTTTAATTCTTATGAAGGTGCTTTCGTATAGATAGTTGTTTAATTTGGTGTTCCTGACAGGGGAATAATTGGTGGAGTCTTCTATTTGGTCATCTTATTTTGCCCCCTCTTTCCTTTTGTTCATTTTGGGTTAATTTTTGTATGTGCATAGGGTAAGAATTCAACTTTACTTTTTTGCTTATGGATATTGAGTTTTCCCAGTCCCATTTCTTGAAAAGAGTGTTGTTTTTCTCATGTAATGGTCCTATTTAAAGTTTGTTTTGCTTTTTTTATTTGTATATTAGTTTATTTCATCATATTTGGAACATTTTCAACCATTATTTCTTCAAACAAGCTCCCTATATCTTTCTTTGTTCTTATTTTAGTATTCTCATAATGTGTATACTGGTCCACTTGATGGGTTCCTATAAGTCCCTTAGGCTATTTTCATTTTTAAAATCATTTTTAAAATTATTCCTTGGCTGGGTGCGGTGGCTCATGCCTGTAATCCCAGCACTTTGGGAGGCTGAGGTGGGCAGATCACGAGGTCAGGAGTTTGAGACCAGCCTGACCAACATGGTGAAACCCTGTCTCCACTAAAAATACAAAAATTACCCGGGTGTGGTGGTGCACACCTGTAATCTCAGCTACTCAGGAGGCTGAGGCAGGAGAATCACTTGAACTTGGGAAGCAGAGGTTGTAGTGAGCCAAGATTGTGCCATTGCACTCCAGTCTGGGTGACAGAGCGAGACTCTGTCTCAAAAAAAAAAAAAAAAAAAAAAGTATTCCAGGAGTACCTTGTCCTAAGTTAACTAATTAATTTATGCCCTCTAATTAGTTTTTTCAAATAGTTATTGTATTTTTCAGTTGTATAATTTGTTTTATTCTTTTTAATATTTTTTCTTTGTGGGAATTCTATTTTGTTCCCATTTTTTCTGGTTTTCTCTATTTCTTTGTCCATATTTTCCTTTTGCTTTTTATGTATAGCATATTTAAGACTACTGTTTTAAAGCCTTTTTATTGTACATACAATGCCTATGGGGTTCTTTTCTGTATCTTGTCTGTGTTCATTTAAGGACAGTTTCAAAAATTTATTTTGTTCTTTGATGTGGGCCACGGTTTTTTGTGGTTGTTGTTGATTTTTTGCATACCTTGTGAATTTTGTTTAAAAGTACATGTTCAAAAAAAAAGCTACCTTTTTTAGGCTTTCTGTGCTTAGCAGGGAATGTTCTGAGTCTTGGAATTAGCCTAGTGATAAGGCTTGAGGTCTTCTGAGTTCCTTTTTGTACATCCTTCATGCCAGGGCTAGGGTGAACTTCTTCATTAATTTTTCCTATATATATTGCTGCTTTGAAATGTACCAATACATCAGTGAGTCTCCACCTATAGTCTTCTCATGGCCTTAAATATTATCTTTTATCCCTTTTTAATAATCTCTTTCCCTAGGCTCCTGTAGACTGGCAGTTTCTTTGCAGCTTTCATCTGCTGTGCCACATTCTACTGCCTTCTACAGTTCTTGCCAGCCTGAGATTCACAGTATGTTACATTTCTTTGTCTGAGTTACAAGTAAGGCAAAAGATAAAACTTGGGTAGTTCACATGTAGGTTAGAACCATATAAATAAGTTTTGCTCTGCTTCTTTCCATCAAAGAATGGAAATAAAATTTGAGCAGTTTTTTTTTTTTTCCCTCAAATTTGCTTCTGGGGACATGGTGGAGAAAGAGTAAGTATAAATCCACAATATTTTTTAGCATTTTAAATGTAGCTTTTTCATGGGCCTTTGCTTGATTGCTCTAAAGCTTTGTTTGGCTACCAAAGCTAGAATAATGTTATTTTAGCCAGTCTTTAGAAGTTAATATTTCTCTATAGGAGCAAAGAACTGAAGATTCCTAGTCTTCCATCAAGTTAATAACATTCAGATATGTCAAACTTCTAAGAAACACCTAACTTGTGTTCCATTGCAGTAGTACTATTTCTATTCTGACCAGCAATATACCAGGGTTTCAATTTCTGCACATCTCTGTACACTTTTTTTAAAATTTTAATTTAAAAAATAATTGTAAGTTTGGCATGATAGCTCACACCTGTAATCCCAAAACTTTGTGAGGCTGAGGCAGGCAGTTAGCTTGAGCCCAGGAGTTTGAGACCAGCCTGGGCAACATGCAGAAACCCTGTCTCTACAAAAGTACACAAATTAGCCAGGCATGGTGGCATGTATCTGTAGTTCCAGCTACTTTGGAGGCTGAGGCAGGTTAATTGATTGAGCTTGGGAGGTTGACATTGCAGTGAGCTGTAATTGCACCACTGCACTCTAGCCTGGGCAACAGAGCAAAACCCTGTGTCAATTAAAAATAACAATAAAAAAAGTAGTCATCTTAAAATGTAAAAAAAACCTAAATTTTATATTTATTTTAATTAATCTAGTAACTAATAATGTTTAGCATCTTTTCAAATGTCATTACCCACTGTCTTTGGAAAAATGTCTATTCGAGGTCTTTGACCATTAATTTTTATTTTTCCCAACTTATATTTTAGACTCGGGGGCACATGTGCAAGTTTTTTACAAGGGTCAACTGCATGTCATGAGAGTTCCATGTACAGATTATTTTGACACCCAGGTAATAAGCACAGTACCTGACAGAGTTTTTTGATCCTCACCCTCCTCCCACCCTCCATCCTGAAGTAGGTCCTGATGTCTATTGATTTCTTCTCTGTGTTCATGTGTATTCAAATTTTACTTCCCATGTATAGGTGAGAACATATGGTAATGGGTTTTTTTGTTTGTTTTGTTTCTGCACTAATTCACTTAGAATAATGGCCTCCAGTTCCATGCATGTTGCTGCAAAGAACATAATCTTATTTTATGGCTTCATAGCATCCCATAATGTATATGTACTACATTTTTATACAATCCACCATTGATGAGAATCTATGTTGATTTCATGTCTCTGCTATTGTGAATAGTGCTGTCATGAATATAAGTGCAAATGGGCCTTTAGGGTAAAATATATTTCTTTGGATATATACCCAGTAATGGGATTGCTTGGTCGAATGGTAATTCTGTTTTAAGCTCTTGGAAAACTCTCCAAACTGCTTTCTACAGTGGATGAAGTAATTTACGTTCCCACCAGCAACACATAAGCATTTCTTTTGTTCTGCAACCTCACTAGCATCTTTTATCTTTTGACATTTTAATAACAGCCATTCTGACTGGTGTGAAATGGTACGTCATTGTGGTTTTAAGTTGCATTTTATTAATTAGTGACGCTGAGCATTTTTAAGATTTTTGTTGGCTGTATGTATGCTTTTATTAGAGAAGTCTCTGTTCATGTACTTTGTCCATTTTTAATAAGTTTTTTATTGCAAATTTGTTTACTTTCCTTATGGTTTTGAACACTGGACCTTTGTCAGATCCATAGTTTGCAAATATTTTGTCACATTCTGTAGGTTGTCTGTTAACTATGTTGGTAGTTTCTTTTGCTGTGCAGAAGGTTTTCAGTTTAATTAGGTCCCACTTGTCAATGTATGTTTTCGTTGCAATTGCTTTTAGCATTTTCATCATGAAATCTTTTTCAGAGCTTATGTTCAGAATGAAATTTTTATTAATAAATTTCTTTCTAGGGTTTTTATAGGTTTAGGTTTTACATTTAAGTTTTCTATCCATCTTGAGTTGATTTTTGTATATGGTAAAACAAAATGGTCCAGTTTAATTGTTCTGCATCTAGCTAGTCAGTTATCACAGCACCACATACTGAATAGAGAAGTTTTCCTATATTGAATATTTTTGTCAACTTTTTCATAGATCAGATGGTTGTAGTTGTGCGGCTTTATTTCTGAGTTCTCTTGCCTTTTCTATTGTTCTGTATGTTAGCTTTTGTACCAGTGTCATGCTGTTTGGTTACTATAGCCTCATAATATTTGAAGTATAGATTTGAAGTTAGGTAGTGTGATGTATCCAGCTTCAGTCTTTTTATTTAAAATTGCCTAGCCTATCCAGGCTTCTTTTTGGTTCCATATGAATTTTAGAATAGTTTTTTTCTAATTATGCAAATAATGTAATTGATAATTTGATAGGAACGGCATTGAATCTGTGAATTGCATTGGACAGTATGGCCATTTTAACAATATTGATTCTTCCTATCTATGAGAATGGAATGTTCTTTTCATATTTTTGTATCATCTCTCATTTGTTTCATCATTGTTTTGTAATTCTCACTGTAGAGACTTTTTACCTCCTTGGTAGACTGTATTCTGAGGTATTTTATTCTTTAGGGGGGCTATTGTGAATGGGATTGCATTCTTGATTTGGCTCTCAGCTTAAACATTATATATTTCTATACATCTATACCTACAATGTAAGTGTATAGAAATGCTACTGATTCATGATTAGGTATCCTAAAACTTTGCAGAAGTATTTTACAAGATCTAAGAGATATTAAAAAAAAAGAGTCTATGAGGTTTTCTGGGTATATAATTATACTGTCCATGAAGAGAGATAGTTTGAGTTCCTCTCTTTCTATTTGGATACCTTGTATTTACTTTTTTTGCCTGATTGCTCTGGCTAAGACTTCCATTACTATGTTTAATAGTAGTGGTATGAGAGAAAATTTTTACCTTCCTAAGGTTCTCAAGGGAAATGCTTTCAGCTTTGTCCATTTAGTATGATGTTTGCTGGATGTATGTCATAGATGGCTCTTATTATTTTGAGGTATGTTCTTTCAATGACTAGTTTTCTTATTGTTTCTAATGTAAAGAGATGTTGAATTTTATCAAAAGCTTTTTTGTGTTAATTGAGATTATTATGTGGTTTTAGTTTTTAGTTCTGTTTGTGTGATGAATCACATTTATTGATTTGCATATTTTAACCCATATATCAGGAATAAAGCCTTTTTTGTTGTGGTGGATTAGCTTTTTTGATTTTCTGCTGAATTCAGTTTGCTAGTATTTTGTGAAGATTTTTGCATCCGGGTTCATCAGGAATATTAACCTGAAAATTTTTTTTATTTGTTTCTCTGACAGATTTTGGTATCAGAATATTGCCAGCCTCATAGAATAAGTTTGAGAGAATTTTCTTACTGCCAAAATTTTTAATAGTTTTAGTAGTATTGGTACAGTTCTGGATTATATGACTGGTAAATTTTGATTGTGAATATGTCTGTCCAGGGCTTTTTCCTGTTTGTAGGTTTTTTCTTACTGATTCAACTTTGCAACTCATTATTGTTCTGTTCAGGGTTTCAATTTCTTCCTGGTTCAATATAAGGAGATTGTATGTTTCCATAAATTTATCAGTTTCTTCTAGGTTTTCTAGTTTTTGTTATTTGTAAGAGTCTCTGAGGGATTTTTGTATTTATATGGGGTCAGTGGTAATGTCTTTTTATTATCATTTCTGATCATTTTTATTTGTATATTCTCTCTTGTTATATTAGCCTACATAGCATTCAATCAATATTATTTATCTTTTCAAAGAAACAACCTTCAGTTTTATTAATTTTTATATTCATTTTTGCATCTCAATTTCATTCAGTTCAGTTCTGATTTTGGTTATTTCTTTTTCTTTTTCTTTTTTTTGATCCCTTAACCTTAAGTTTATGTGAGTCCTTATGTATTAGGTGAGTCTCTTAAAGACAGCATATGTTTGGTTGGTGAATTTATATTCATTTTGCCATTCTGTATGTTTTAAATGGAGCATTTAGGCCATTTAGATTCAACGTGAGTATTGACATATAAGGTACTATTCTATTCATTGTGCTAGCTATTGCGTGAATGTCTTTTTTAAAATTGTGTTGTTGTTTTATAGTTTCTGTGAGATTCATGCTTTAAGGAGGTTCTATTTTGGTGTATTTCAAGGATTTGTTTTAAAATATAGAGCTCCTTTGAGCATTTCTTGTAGTGCTGGCTTTATAGCGGTGAATTTTCTCAGCATTTATTTTTGTAAAAAAGACTTTATCTTTCCTTCATTTATGAAGATTAGTTTCTCTGAATACAAAATTATTGGCTGATAACTGCTGTGTTTTAGGAGACTAAAAATGAAACCCCAATTCCTTCTAGATTGTAGAGTGTCTGCTGAGAAATATGCTGTTAGTCTGACAAGTTTTCCTTTATAGGTTACCTGTTGCTTTTGCCTCATGGCTCTTAAGATTCTCTCCTTCATCTTGACTTTAGATAACCTGATGACTATGTGCCTATGAAATAATTTTTTATGATGAATTTCCTAGTTATTCTTTGAGCTTCTTGTATTTGGATGTCTAGATCTCTGGCAAGGCCATGGAAGTTTTCCTTGACTATTCCCTGAAATATGTTCTCCAAACTTTTAGGTTTCTCTTCATTCTCAGGAACACCAATTATTCTTAGGCTTGGTCATTTAACATAATCTCAAAATTCTTGGTGGCTTTGTTCATTTATTTTTATTCTTTTTTCTTTGTGTTTACCAGGTTGAGTTAATTTGAAAGGCTTGTCTTAAAGCTCTGAACTTCTTTCTTTAATTGTTCGATTCTATTGCTGAGACATTCCAGTGTATTTTGCATTTCTCTCAGTGTGTCCTTCATTTCCAGAAGTTGTGATTGGTTTTTATTTATGCTGTCTATTTATCTGGAGATTTTTTCATTCATATCCTGTATTTTTTTTTCTGTATTTCTTTCTTTCTTTCTTTTTATTTTTTTAGATGGAATCTTGCTCTGTTGCCAGGCTGGAGTGCAGTGGAGTGATCTCAGCTCACTGCAACCTCCGCCTCCTGAGTTCAAGCAATTCTCCTGCCTCAGCCTCCCGAGTAGCTGGGACTACAGGCATGCACCACCACGCCCAGCTAATTTTTGTATTTTTAGTAGAGACTGGGTTTCACCATGTTGGCCAGGATCGTCTCGATCTCTTGACCTCGTGGTCCGCCTTCCTCGGCCTCCCAAAGAGCTGGGATTACAGGCATGAGCCACCGTGCCTGGCCTATTTTTTGTATTTCTTTAAGTTGGTATTCACCTTTCTCTGGTGCCTTCTTGAGTAGCTTAGTAGTCAACCTTTTGAATTCTTTCTCTGGAAATTAAAAGATTTCTTCTTGGTTTGGATCCATTACTGATACACTAGTGTGCTCTTTTGGGGATGTTAAAGAACATTGTTTTGTCATTTACCAGAATAGTTTTTTCTTGTTCCTTCTTATTTGAGTAGGCTGTCAGAGGGAAGATCTGGGGCTCAAGTGCTGTTTTTCAGATTCTTTCATCTTGCAGGGTGCTCCCTTGATGTGGTGCTCTCCTCCTTTCCCTAGGGATGGGACTTCCTGAGAGTCCAGTGATTGTTCTTTCTTTTCTGGGTCTAGCCACCCAGCAGTGCTACTGGGCTCTGGGCTGGCACTAGGGAGTATCTCCAAATAGTCCTGTGATATAATCCACCTTTATATCTCTCAGCCGTGGATACCAGCAACTACTATGGTAGAGGTAGCAAGAAAGAGAAGTGTACTCTGTGAAGGTCCTTGGTTTTGTTTTGTTTAGTGTGCTGGTTTTGTGACGGTTGACCTCCAGCCAGCAGTTGGTGCTTTGAAAAGAGCATCAACTACAGTACTATAGGAAGAATACAAGATTGACCTAAGGTCACCTGCATAGGTATTTGAATTTCTCAGGTGTTGGGTGGGGCCATTGAACTACCATGAGATTAGCAGGTAGAGAAATAACATCAGGTGGGGCAGAGATAGGTGTGTCTGAGCTCAGACTCTCCTTTGGCAGGGTTTGCTGAGGCTGCTATGGGTGATGAGGCTGTGGTTCTCAGGTCAATGGAGTTACATTCCCAGGGGATTTTGGCTGCCTCTCCTGTGTCACACAGGTTGCCAGGGAAGTGGAGAAAAGCCAACAATGACAGGCCTCATCCAGATCTCACACAGCCCAAAGGGCCAGTCTCACTCCCACCATGACCCCCCAACAGCATCGAGTATATTTCCAGTTGGCCTATGTGCAGGGCTGAGAACTTGCCCCAGGCTACAAGCCTACTCGCTGAGAATGCAAGCAGGGCTGCTAGGTTCTGTGTCTCCCTGTCTGCTGTGATTTCTGTGCTTGAATCTGCACTCATCATCTGCCCCCTCCCCTGGATTCTCTGTCCATGAAAGTTCACGTTCAGTCAGAAATGTTACAATGTCAAGCTGGAGGTTTCCTTCTCCCTGTGGTCTTTCTCCAATTCCACTGGCAACCCTTCCCACGGATCCCTGAAAGACAAAGTCAAAAGTGGCTTTCCCGAGGACCAAAAGTGCCACAGGGTATTTCCTTCTGTTTCCTCAACCCTTATATTTTGCTTGGCTCTCTAAATTTGTCTCAGCTCTAGATAAGGTCAAATCCTTCTCCCATGATCTAAATTTTCAGGTTTCTCAGTGAGGATGTGTTTTGGGGCAGACATTTCCCCTCTTATACTTTGGGCACTCACAGTTTTTTGGCTGTTTTAAGGAGCCTGCGCAGTGGCAAGCTGCTTTCTTCAAAAGTTCTGTGAATTATATTTGCTTTCCTGATATGTTCCTGTTGTAGTTCTTGGAGCAAAAGTTAATTATGTGAGTCTCCACATACTGTTCTGTTCATCTGAGTGGAAGCTGCATGTTAGTCTTGACTACTATCCACCATTACTTTCTTGCCATCTTAATTCTTCTTTCAATGTTTGATAGAATTCATCAGTAAATCTATCTGATTGTAGGACTTTTTTTACTGGAAGACTTTTTATTATGGCTTTGATCTAGTTGCTTGGAATTGGTCTGTTCAGGGTTTGAATTTCTTCTTCCTTCAATCTTGGAAGGTTGTGTAAGGAATTGGTCTACTTCTTCTAGATTTTCCAATTTATTGGCATATAGTTGATCTAAGTAGGCACTAATTACCCTTTTAATTTTTTCAGTATTTGTTGTAATATCTTCTCTTTTATTTACGGTTTTATTTATGTGAATCTTCTCCTTTTTTTTCTCAGTTAGTCTGGCTAAACATATGTCAATTTTGTAAAACTTTTCAAAAAACAAACTGTTTCACTAATCTTTTGTATTGTTTATTTCAGTTTCATATATTTCTACTCTGGTCTTTATTATTTCTTCTACTAATTTTGGGTTTTCTTTGTTCTTGTATCCCTAGTTCTTTAAGACACATTAAATTGCTTATTAGAATTTTTTTCTCTTCATTGATGTAGGCATGTATAGCTATAAATTTTCCTCTTAGTATTGCTTTTGCTGTATCTCATAGTTTTTAGTATGTTGTGTTTTCATTATCAAATGTTCCAATAAATTTTAAAATTTTTGTCTTAATTTTTCAAATTTACCCACTGATCATTCAGGCACATACTGTTTAATTTCCATGTATTTGTATAATTTTCAAAAATTTTTTGTTATCAATTTTTATTTTCATTCCACTGTTGTCAGAGAGGATGCTTGGTTTTTTTTTTTTTTTTTTTTTTTTTTTTTGACAGAGTCTGGCACTGTCACCAGGGCTGGAGTGCAGTGGCATGATCTCAGCTCACTGCAACCTCCACCTCCCAGGTTCAAGTGATTCTCCTGCCTCACACTCCTGAGTAGCTGGGATTACAGGTGCACACCACCACAGCCAGCTAATTTTTTGTATTTTTAGTAGAGACAGAGTTTCACTATGTTGGCCAGACTGGTCTCAAACTCCTGACCTCATGATCCACCCGCCTCAGCCTCCCAAAGTGCTGGGATTACAGGCGTGAACCACTGCACTGGCCGGATGCTTGATATTACTTCAGGTTTTTTTGAATGTTACAAGTCTTGTTTTGTGACCTAACATATGTTTTATCCTTGAGAATAATCCATATCCTGAGGAAAAAAATGCGTACTTGGCAGCTTTTGAATGAAATGTTCTGTAAATACCTATTAGATCCATTTGGTCTATAGTTCAGAATAAGATCAATGTTCCTTTGTTTATTTTCTGTCTGAAAGATCTGTCTAAAAGTTCTGAAAGTGGGGCCTTGAAGTCTCCAGATGTTATTGTTTTGGGACCTCTCACTTTCACTCTAATAATATTTTCTTAATATATCTGGGAGCTCTTGTGTTGGGTGCATGTATGTTTAAAATTGTTATATCCTGTTGCTGAATTGATCCCTTTATCATTATATAGTGACATTCTTTGTCTCTACTGATAGTTTTTGTCCTGAAATCTATTTTTTTCTCTCTTATGTGGTTATAGCTACTCCTATTCTTTTCTGGTTTCCTTTGGCATGGAATATCTTTTTCCATTTCTTTATTTTCAGTTTATGTGTGTCTTTATAGGTAAAGTGTGTTTCTTGTAGGAAATAGGTCAATGGATCTCATTTTTTTCATCCATTTAGCTTGTTTATGTCTTTTGGTTGGAGACTTCTTTCTTTCTTTTCTTTCTTCCTCTAGTGAAGATATTTTTCTCTCATGATAGTAGTTAGTTTCTCGCTTGTTATCTTTTGTGTATTGATTGTATGTTTTTTGGTTTGATTATTTTAACCTGATAACAACTTAACACTATTTGCATAAAAAACTAAAAAAAGAAGAAGAAAAAACCACTAATAAACACTCACCTAGACTTCGTCCTCTCAATTTCTAATTTTATGTTGTTTCCATTTATATCTTATTATACTATGTATTAAAAAGTGATTGTAGTTATTATTTTTTATTGGTTCATTGCTTAGTCTTTCCACTTGAAACAGGAGCAATTTAGTAATTTACACAACACAATTACACTGTTATAATATTGCATAATTTTTCTGTATACTTACTATTACCAGTGAGTTTTGTACTTTCAAATAATTATTTATTGCTCATTAATGTTCTTTTCTTTCTAATTGAAGAAATTTCATTAGCATTTCTTGTTGGATGATTCTGGTATTCATGAAATCCCTCAGCTTTTGTTTGTCTGGGAAAGTCTTTATTTCTCCTTCATGTTTGAAGGATGTTTTCACTGGATATACTATTCCAGGGTAAAAGTATTTTCCTTCAGCACTTTAAATATGGCATGCCATTCTCTCCTAGCCTATAAGGTTTCCACTGAGAATTCTGCTGCCAGACTTAGGAGAGCTCTGTTTTCTGTTACTTGCTTCTTTTCTCTTGCTGCTTTTAGGATCCTTTCTTTTTATTTATTTATTTATTTATTTATTTATTTATTTATTTATTTTTAATTATACTTTAAGTTTTAGGGTACATGTGCACATTGTGCAGGTTAGTTACATATGTATACATGTGCCATGCTGGTGTGCTGCACCCACTAACTCGTCATCTAGCATTAGGTATATCTCCCAATGCTATCCCTCCCCCCTCCCACCTCCCCACCACAGTCCCCAGAGTGTGATATTCCCCTTCCTGTGTCCATGTGATCTCATTGTTCAATTCCCATCTATGAGTGAGAATATGCGGTGTTTGGTTTTTTGTTCTTGCGATAGTTTACTGAGAATGATGGTTTCCAATTTCATCCATGTCCCTACAAAGGACATGAACTCATCATTTTTTATGGCTGCATAGTATTCCATGGTGTATATGTGCCACATTTTCTTAATCCAGTCTATCATTGTTGGACATTTGGGTTGGTTCCAAGTCTTTGCTATTGTGAATAATGCCGCAATAAACATACGTGTGCATGTGCCTTTATAGCAGCATGATTTATAGTCCTTTGGGTATATACCCAGTAATGGGATGGCTGGGTCAAATGGTATTTCTAGTTCTAGATCCCTGAGGAATCGCCACACTGACTTCCACAATGGTTGAACTAGTTTACAGTCCCACCAACAGTGTAAAAGTGTTCCTATTTCTCCACATCCTCTCCAGCACCTGTTGTTTCCTGACTTTTTAATGATTGCCATTCTACCTGGTGTGAGATGATATCTCATAGTGGTTTTGACTTGCATTTCTCTGATGGCCAGTGATGATGAGCATTTTTTCATGTGTTTTTTGGCTGCATAAATGTCTTCTTTTGAGAAGTGTCTGTTCATGTCCTTCGCCCACTTTTTGATGGGGTTGTTTGTTTTTTTCTTGTAAATTTGTTTGAGTTCATTGTAGATTCTGGATATTAGCCCTTTGTCAGATGAGTAGGTTGCGAAAATTTTCTCCCATGTTGTAGGTTGCCTGTTCACTCTGATGGTAGTTTCTTTTGCTGTGCAGAAGCTCTTTAGTTTAATTAGATCCCATTTGTCAATTTTGGCTTTTGTTGCCATTGCTTTTGGTGTTTTGGACATGAAGTCCTTGCCCACGCCTATGTCCTGAATGGTAATGCCTAGGTTTTCTTCTAGGGTTTTTATGGTTTTAGGTCTAACGTTTAAATCTTTAATCCATCTTGAATTGATTTTTGTATAAGGTGTAAGGAAGGGATCCAGTTTCAGCTTTCTACATATGGCTAGCCAGTTTTCCCAGCACCATTTATTAAATAGGGAATCCTTTCCCCATTGCTTGTTTTTCTCAGGTTTGTCAAAGATCGGATAGTTGTAGGTATGCGGCGTTATTTCTGAGGGCTCTGTTCTGTTCCATTGATCTATATCTCTGTTTTGGTACCAGTACCATGCTGTTTTGGTTACTGTAGCCTTGTAGTATAGTTTGAAGTCAGGTAGTGTGATACCTCCAGCTTTGTTCTTTTGGCTTAGGATTGACTTGGCGATGCGGGCTCTTTTTTGGTTCCATATGAACTTTAAAGTAGTTTTTTCCAATTCTGTGAGGAAAGTCATTGGTAGCTTGATGGGAATGGCATTGAATCTGTAAATTACCTTGGGCAGTATGGCCATTTTCACGATATTGATTCTTCCTACCCATGAGCATGGAATGTTCTTCCATGTGTTTGTATCCTCTTTTATTTCCTTGAGCAGTGGTTTGTAGTTCTCCTTGAAGAGGTCCTTCACATCCCTTGTAAGTTGGATTCCTAGGTATTTTATTCTCTTTGAAGCAATTGTGAATGGGAGTTCACTCATGATTTGGCTCTCTGTTTGTCTGTTGTTGGTGTATAGGAATGCTTGTGATTTTTGTACATTGATTTTGTATCCTGAGACTTTGCTGAAGTTGCTTATCAGCTTAAGGAGATTTTGGGCTGAGACGATGGGGTTTTCTAGATAAAGAATCATGTCGTCTGCAAACAGGGATAATTTGACTTCCTCTTTTCCTAATTGAATACCCTTTATTTCCTTCTCCTGCCTGATTGCCCTGGCCAGAACTTCCAACACTATGTTGAATAGGAGCGGTGAGAGAGGGCATCCCTGTCTTGTGCCAGTTTTCAAAGGGAATGCTTCCAGTTTTTGCCCATTCAGTATGATATTGGCTGTGGGTTTGTCATAGATAGCTCTTATTATTTTGAAATACGTCCCATCAATACCTAATTTATTGAGAGTTTTTAGCATGAAGGGTTGTTGAATTTTGTCAAAGGCTTTTTCTGCATCTATTGAGATAATCATGTGGTTTTTGTCTTTGGCTCTGTTTATATGCTGGATTACATTTATTGATTTGTGTATATTGAACCAGCCTTGCATCCTAGGGATGAAGCCCACTTGATCATGGTGGATAAGCTTTTTGATGTGCTGCTGGATTCATTTTGCCAGTATTTTATTGAGGATTTTTGCATCAATGTTTATCAAGGATATTGGTCTAAAATTCTCTTTTTTGGTTGTGTCTCTGCCAGGCTTTGGTATCAGAATGATGCTGACCTCCTAAAATGAGTTAGGGAGGATTCCCTCTTTTTCTATTGATTGGAATAGTTTCAGAAGGAATGGTACCAGTTCCTCCTTGTACCTCTGGTAGAATTCGGCTGTGAATCCATCTGGTCCTGGACTCTTTTTGGTTGGTAAACTATTGATTATTGCCACAATTTCAGATCCTGTTATTGGTCTATTCAGAGATTCAACTTCTTCCTGGTTTAGTCTTGGGAGAGTGTATGTGTCCAGGAATTTATCCATTTCTTCTAGATTTTCTGGTTTATTTGCATAGAGGTGTTTGTAGTATTCTCTGATGGTAGTTTGTATTTCTGTGGGATCGGTGGTGATATCCCCTTTATCATTTTTTATTGTGTCTATTTGATTCTTCTCTCTTTTATTCTTTATTAGTCTTGCTAGCGGTCTATCAATTTTGTTGATCCTTTCAAAAAACCAGCTCCTGGATTCATTGATTTTTTGAAGGGTTTTTTGTGTCTCTATTTCCTTCAGTTCTGCTCTGATTTTAGTTATTTCTTGCCTTCTGCTAGCTTTTGAATGTGTTTGCTCTTGCTTTTCTAGTTCTTTTAATTGTGATGTTAGGGTGTCAATTTTGGATCTTTCCTGCTTTCTCTTGTGGGCATTTAGTGCTATAAATTTCCCTCTACACACTGCTTTGAATGTGTCCCAGAGATTCTGGTATGTTGTGTCTTTGTTCTCGTTGGCTTCAAAGAACATCTTTATTTCTGCCTTCATTTCGTAATGTACCCAGTAGTCATTCAGGAGCAGGTTGTTCAGTTTCCATGTAGTTGAGCGGCTTTGAGTGAGTTTCCTAATCCTGAGTTCTAGTTTGATTGCACTGTGGTCTGAGAGATAGTTTGTTATAATTTCTGTTCTTTTACATTTGCTGAGGAGAGCTTTACTTCCAAGTATGTGGTCAATTTTGTAATAAGTGTAGTGTGGTGCTGAAAAAAATGTATATTCTGTTGATTTGGTGTGGAGAGTTCTGTAGATGTCTATTAGGTCCGCTTGGTGCAGAGCTGAGTTCAATTCCTGGGTATCCTTGTTGACTTTCTGTCTCGTTGATCTGTCTAATGTTGACAGTGGGGTGTTAAAGTCACCCATTATTAATGTGTGGGAGTCTAAGTCTCTTTGTAGGTCACTCAGGACTTGCTTTATGAATCTGGGTGCTCCTGTATTGGGTGCATATATATTTAGGATAGTTAGCTCCTCTTGTTGAATTGATCCCTTTACCATTATGTAATGGCCTTCTTTGTCTCTTCTGATCTTTGTTGGTTTAAAGTCTGTTTTATCAGAGACTAGGATTGCAACCCCTGCCTTTTTTTGTTTTCCATTTGCTTGGTAGATCTTCCTCCATCCTTTTATTTTGAGCCTATGTGTGTCTCTGCACGTGAGATGGGTTTCCTGAATACAGCACACTGATGGGTCTTGACTCTTTATCCAACTTGCCAGTCTGTGTCTTTTAATTGGAGAATTTACTCCATTTACATTTAAAGTTAATATTGTTATGTGTGAATTTGATCCTGTCATTATGATGTTAGCTGGTGATTTTGCTCGTTAGTTGATGCAGTTTCTTCCTAGTCTCGATGGTCTTTACGTTTTGGCATGATTTTGCAGCAGCTGGTACCGGTTGTTCCTTTCCATGTTTAGCGCTTCCTTCAGGAGGTCTTCTAGGGCAGGCCTGCTGGTGACAAAATCTCTCAGCATTTGCTTGTCTGTAAAGTATTTTATTTCTCCTTCACTTATGAAGCTTATTTTGGCTGGATATGAAATTCTGGGTTGAAAATTCTTTTCTTTAAGGGTGTTGAATATTGGCCCCCACTCTCTTCTGGCTTGTAGGGTTTCTGCCGAGAGATCCGCTGTTAGTCTGATGGGCTTCCCTTTGAGGGTAACCCGACCTTTCTCTCTGGCTGCCCTTAACATTTTTTCCTTCATTTCAACTTTGGTGAATCTGACAATTATGTGTCTTGGAGTTGCTCTTCTTGAGGAGTATCTTTGTGGCGTTCTCTGTATTTCCTGAATCTGAACGTTGGCCTGCCTTGCTAGATTGGGGAAGTTCTCCTGGATAATATCCTGCAGAGTGTTTTCCAACTTGGTTTCATTCTCCGCATCACTTTCAGGTACACCAATCAGACGTAGGTTTGGTCTTTTCACATAGTCCCATATTTCTTGGAGGCTTTGCTCATTTCTTTTTATTCTTTTTTCTCTAAACTTCCCTTCTCGCTTCATTTCATTCATTTCATCTTCCATTGCTGATACCCTTTCTTCCAGTTGATCGCATCGGCTCCTGAGGCTTCTGCATTCTTCACGTAGTTTTCGAGCCTTGGTTTTCAGCTCCATCAGCTCCTTTAAGCACTTCTTTGTATTGGTTATTCTAGTTATACATTCTTCTAAATTTTTTTCAAAGTTTTCAACTTCTTTGCCTTTGGTTTGAATGTCCTCCCGTAGCTCAGAGTAATTTGATCGTCTGAAGCCTTCTTCTCTCAGCTCGTCAAAATCATTCTCCATCCAGCTTTGTTCCGTTGCTGGTGAGGAACTGCGTTCCTTTGGAGGAGGAGAGGCGCTCTGCGTTTTAGAGTTTCCAGTTTTTCTGTTCTGTTTTTTCCCCATCTTTGTGGTTTTATCTACTTTTGGTCTTTGATGATGGTGATGTACAGATGGGTTTTCGGTGTGGATGTCCTTTCTGTTTGTTAGTTTTCCTTCTAACAGACAGGACCCTCAGCTGCAGGTCTGTTGGAATACCCTGCAGTGTGAGGTGTCAGTGTGCCCCTGCTGGGGGGTGCCTCCCAGTTAGGCTGCTCGGGGGTCAGGGGTCAGGGACCCACTTGAGGAGGCAGTCTGCCGGTTCTCAGATCTCCAGCTGTGTGCTGGGAGAACCACTGCTCTCTTCAAAGCTGTCAGACAGGGACACTTAAGTCTGCAGAGGTTACTGCTGTCTTTTTGTTTATCTGTGCCCTGTCCCCAGAGGTGGAGCCTACAGAGGCAGGCAGGCCTCCTTGAGCTGTGGTGGGCTCCACCCAGTTTGAGCTTCCCGGCTGCTTTGTTTACCTAATCAAGCCTGGGCAATGGCGGGCGCCCATCCCCCAGCCTCGCTGCCGCCTTGCAGTTTGATCTCAGACTGCTGTGCTAGCAATCAGCAAGATTCCGTGGGCATAGGACCCTCCGAGCCAGGTGTGGGATATAGTCTCGTGGTGCGCCTTTTTTTAAGCTGGTCTGAAAAGCGCAATATTCGGGTGGGAGTGACCCGATTTTCCAGGTGCATCCGTCACCCCTTTCTTTGACTCGGAAAGGGAACTCCCTGACCCCTTGCGCTTCCCAGGTGAGGCAATGCCTCGCCCTGCTTCGGCTCGCGCAAGGTGCGCGCACCCACTGGCCTGTGCCCACTGTCTGGCACTCCCTAGTGAGATGAACCTGGTACCTCAGATGGAAATGCAGAAATCACCCGTCTTCTGCATCGCTCACGCTGGGAGCTGTAGACCGGAGCTGTTCCTATTCGGCCATCTTGGCTCCTCCCACCGACCTGGAATTTTTCTATCAGGATCCTTTCTTTATCCTTCACTTTTGAAAGTTTGATTATTAAATGCCTTCAAATGGTCTTTGGGTTAAATCTGCTTGGTGTTCTATAACCTTTTTGTACTCGAATATTTGTATGTTTATCTAGGTCTGAGAAGTTACCTGTTATGAGCTCTTTTAATAAACTTTCTACCCCTATCTGTCTTTTTTGACTTTTTAATGATAGCCATTTTGACTTTTGCAATATGGTATGTCATTGTGGTTTTCATTTGCATTTAACTAGTGATTAGTGATGTTCAGCTGTTTTTTTTCCTTGTTGGCCACATCTAAGTCATCTTTAAAGAAGTAGCTTTTCATGTCATTTTCCCATTTCTTAATGGGCTTATTATTATTTTTTTTTTGCTTGTTTATTTAAGTTTCTTTTAGATTTAGACCTTTGTCCAATGCCTAGTTTGCAAATACTTTCACTCATTTTGAGATAGTCTATCTACTCTGTTGATAGTTTTTTTTCCTGTGCAGAATCTCTTGAATGTAATTAGTTCCCTCTTGCTAATTACTTTTTTTGTGATTGCTTTTGGAGTGTTTGTCACAAAACCTTTGCCAGGGCCTATGTACAGAATAATAATATCCTAGGTTTTCTTCCAATGTTTTTATAGATTTAGGTTTTATATTTAAGTCTTCAATTCATCTGGAGATGATTTTTGTATATGATGAAATGAAATAGTCCAGTTTTAATATCTGCATCTGGCTAGTCAGTTATCCCAGCACCATTTATTAAATATGGAGTTTTTTTCTCGTTGCTTATTTTTGTCATCTTTGTCAAAGCTCAGATGATTGTAGGTGTGTGACTTTATTTCATGTTACTCTAAGCTGTTCCTTTGGTCTATATTTCTGTTTTTTGTACCAGTAGCATACTGTTTTATTTCCTGTGGACTTGCAGTATAGATTGAAGTTAGTGTGAAGTCTCAAGTTTTATTCTGTTTGCTTAGAATTACTTTGGCTACTTAGGCTCTTTTTCTGTTCTATAAAATTTTAGAATAGTTTTTTTTTTTCTAACTGTAAAAAATGTCATTTGTAGTTTGATAAGAAAGACAATGTCTTTGATTTGAATCTGTAAATTGCTTTGGGCTGAGTGACCATTTTAGCAATATTGATTCTTTCTATTCATGAACATGAAATACTGTAGTAGTCCGTTCTCATGCTGTTATGAAGAAATACCTGAGACTAGGTAATTTATAAAGAACAGAGGTTTAATTGACTCACAGTTCTGCATAACTGGGAAGGCCTCAGGAAACTCACAATCATGGCAGAAGGCACCTATTCACAAGGCAGCAGAAGAGATAATGAGCTCCTAGCAAAGGGGGAAGCCCCTTATACCACCATGACCTATCATGAGAACTAACTCACTATCATGGGAACAGGAAGGGGGAAACTGCACCCATGATTCATTAATCTCCACGTGGTTTCTCACATGACACGTGGGGATTATGGGAACTACAATTCAATATGAAATTTGGGTGGGGACACAGACAAACCATATCAAATGCTTTTTTATTTTTTGTGCCATCTGATTTTATTCAAAAGTGTTTTGTAATTCTTGTTGTAGAGACTTTTTAGTTTCCAAGAAAGCTCTATTTCTAGATACTTTATTCTTTTTGTGGCTATTGTGAATGGAATTGCCTTCTTGATTTGGCTCTCAGCTTGAATGTAATTGGTGTATACAAATGCTACTGATTTTTGTATGTTGATTTTGTATCCTGATGCTTTGCCAAAGTTCTTTATTAGATTTAGGAGCCTTTGGGCAGAGACTATAGGGTTTTCTTTATATAGAATCATGTTGTTTTTGAAGAGAGATCATGTGACTTCATCTCTTATTCTTCGAATGCCTTTTATTTCTTTCTCTTTCCTGAGTGCTCCAGCTAACACTTCCAGTACTATGCTGAATAAGAGTAGTGAGAGTGGGTATCCTTGTTTTATTCCAGTTCCCAGTAGCTAATGCTCTTAGCTTTTGTCTATTCAGTATAAGATTGGCTGTATGTTGGTCTTAGATGTCTCCTATTATTTTTAGGTATGTGCCTTTGATTCTTAAATTGTTGAGATATTTTTAACATGTAGGGATTTTGAATGTTATTTAAAGCTTCTTCTGCATCTAAGGTAAGTATATATCTTTTGGCTTTAGTTCACTTTGTGATCAATCAGATTTATTGATTTGCATATGTCACCATATGCAAAAGGTTGAAATGCACCAATCTTGCATTTCATAGAAAAAGGCTACTTTATTGTGGTGGATTAGCTTTTTGATGTGCTGCTGGATTTGGTTTGCTAGTATATTGTTGAGAATTTTTGCATCTATGTTCATCAAGGATATTGGCCTGAAGGTATCTTTTCTTTGTTGTTACTGTGCCTCTGCCAGGTCTTGTTATCCAAATGATGTTGGCCTCATGAAATAAGCTAAGAAGAAGTCCCTTCTTTTCATTACTTTGGAATAATTTTAGTATGGTTGGTGCCAGTTTTTCTTTATACACCTGGCAGAATTTGGCTGTTAATCCATCTTGTCCAGGACTCATTCTTGTTCATAGGCTTTTTATTATAATTTAATTTTGGAACTCATTATTGGTCTGTTCACTGTTTCCATTTCTTCCTGGTTCAATATGGGGAGATAGTATGTTTCCAGGAATTTATTCATTTTTCCTAAGTTTTCCCGTTTGTTTGCACAGAAGTATTCATAATATTCTCTGAGGAATTGTGTATTTCTGTGGAGAAAGAGGAAATGTCCCCTTTGTCATTTCTAATTTTGGTTATTTGAGTCTTCTCCCTTTTTTTCTTTGTCTAGCTAGTCGTCTATCAATCTTATTCATTCTTTCAAATAAATAACTTTTGGTTTTCTTGATTTTTTTTTTAGTATCCATTATATTAAGCCTGTTCTAAGTTTGATTATTTCTTTTATTTTGCTAGCTTTGAAGTTAGTTTACTCTTGCTTTTCTAGGTCCTCAACGTTTGATATTGTTTTTAATTATAAATATTTTTAACGTTTTGATGTGGGCATTTAGCACTACAGACTTTCCTCTTAACACAAAATTATATCAACCGCACTCTTAGATCATTTTTTTACTTATTGAGAATTGCTTTATGGCTGGGCTTGTGCTCAATTTTACAGTCTGTGCCATGTTTAGATGAGAAGATCGTATAATCTGTTGTTATTAGGTGGAGTGTTGTGTAGATGTCTTTCAGGTTCATTTGGTCAAACATGGAGTTTAGGGTCTAAATATCTTTGTCAGTTTTCTGCTTCAACGATCTGTCTGATTCTGTCAGTGGGGTGTTAATTTCTCCCACTGTTATTGTGTGGTTACCTAAGTTTCTTTGTAGGTCTCCAAAAACTTGCTTTTTGAACCCAGATGCTCCAGTCTTGGGTGCATATGTACTTAGTAGAGTGAAGTCTTCTTGTTCAATTGAACCCTTAATCATTATGAAATGCCTTTCTTTGTCATAAATGCTTATTGCTAAAGTCTGCTTTTTTTCTGAAATCAAAATACCAACACCTACTCTGTTTTCTTTTCCATTTTCTTGATGGATCTTTCTCCATCCCCTTACTTTGAGCTTGTGAGTTATTGCATATGAGATGGGTGTTTTGAAAAACAACATACATTTCAGTCTTGCTTCTTTACCCAACTTGCCACTCTGCGCTTTCTAAGTGGGACATATAGCTTGTTTACATTGAAAGTTAATTTGATATTTGTGGATTTGATCCTGCTATCATGTTGTTAATTGGCTGTTATGTAGACTTGATTGTGTACTTGCTTTATAGTGTCGGTCTATGTATTTCAATACATTTTTGTGTGTGTGGTAGCCAGGAACCATCTTTCTTTACCATGTTTAGCACTCCCTTAAGGATCTCTTTTAAAGCAGGTCTGGTGGCAATGAATTCCTTTATCATTTGCTTGTATGTAAGATGTCTTGTCTCCCCCTTGTTTGTGTCAATTTGGCTGGATATAAAATTCTTTGTTAAAACTCTTTTTCTTTAATAATGCTGAACATAAGCCTCCACTCTCTTCTGGCTGTTAAGCTTTCTGTTTGCCTGATGGGTTTTCTTTGTGGGTTACCCGTCTCTTCTCTCTAGCTGTCTCTATTTTGTATTTTTCGTTTTTACATTGGAGAATCTGACGATTTCGGGTCTTGGAGATAATCATATTGTATAATATCTCGAAAGAGTTCTCTGAATCTCCTGAATTTGAATGTTTATCTATCAACTGAAGGTGGAAAATTTTTCATGGAAAATATACTAAAATATGTTTTCCAAGTTGCTTGCTCTCTCTCTCTTTCAAGGACACTAATGATTTTTAGGTTTGCCCTCTATGCATAACTTTATATTTCTCTGAGGTTTTGTTCATGTTTTTTTATATTTTTTAAATTTTTGTCTGACGGAATTTATTCAAATAACCAGTCTTTGAAATCTGAGATTCTTTTCTCAGCTTGGACTATTCTACTGTTAATACCAGCAGTTTTATTATAAAATTCTTGTACTAAATTTTTCTGCTCTATCACATCAATTTGGTTCTTACTTAAAATGGCTATTTTGTTTTTCAGCTTTGTATTATTTTACTGAATTCCTTACATTTCCTGTATTTGGTTTCTCCTTTTTTTTTTTTCTTTTCTTTTTTGATGGAATTTCACTCTTGTTGCCCAAGCTGGAGTGCAATGGCGCGATCTCGGCTCATCGCAACCTCCATCTCCCCGGTTCAAGTGATTCTTCTGCCTCAACCTCCCAAGTAGCTGGGGTTACAGGCATGCACCACCACGCCGAGCTAATTTTGTATATTTAGTAGAGACGGGGTTTCTCCATGTTCGTCAGGCTGGTCTCAAACTCCCGACCTCAGGTGATCCGCCCACTTAGCCCTTTCAAAGTGCTGGGATTACAGGTGTGAGCCACCGCGCCCGGCTCTACTTTCTTCTTAATTTTGGTAGTCTTTGTTGCCATACTGATTCTGAATTCTATGTCTGTCATTTCAGCCATTTTGGTCTGCTTAAAGACCGTTGCTGGGTAGCTAATGCAGCTGTTCGGGGGGCAAGAAGACACTCTGGGTTTTTGAATTGCCAGAGTTCTTGCACTTTTTTTCCTCCATCTCTGTGGGCTCATGTTCCTTTAATATTTGAAGTTGCTATTCTTTGGATGTGGCTTTTTGCCTTTATAATCTCTGATGCATTTGAGGGCTTGACTGTGGTGTAAGTTGAGTTCAGCTGACTGGCTTTGTTTCTGGACAATTTCAGGGTGTCAAGTCTTCCTTCAGCACTCCTGGACTGCATGCTCTAACCCCAAGAGGCTGGGACCAGGCTCACAATGTTGTTCTCTGGCCTCTTGAGGTTAAGTATATTCTGCACTGGAGGAAACAAGGTGTTCCTGGTAAGGCGACACAACATTCTAATGGGGAATACTAACAAAAACACTTTATTGGGGCAGTGGCAGTAAGGTCTGTGCTCACACACATGTGCCAGTGGCAGCAGGGTGGCAGCTCAACGGGGTAAGCATGTATACATGCCTCCAGTGGCAGTGGGGCAGCAGAATCCATGCACATGCACCCTGGCAAAGTGGTGAGGGAAGGCTGCAGATGAGTGTGTGTTTATTTTATTTTATTTTATTTTATTATTTTTTATTGAGTCGGAATCTCACTCTGTCACCCAGGCTGGAGTGCAGTGGCATGATCTTGGCTCAATGCCACCTCTGCCTCCTGGATTCAAGCGATTCTCCTGACTCAGCTGCCCAAGTAGCTAGGACTACAGGCATGTGCCACCACCTCCGGCTAATTTTTAAAATTTTTTTTAGTAGAGATGGGGTTTCACCATGTTGGCCAGAATTGACTCGACCTCCTGACCTCAGGTGATCCACCCGCCTCGGCTTCCCAAAGTGCTGAGATGACAGTCGTGACCCACCACCACCACCAGCCAAGTGTGTGTTTTTAAATTGGTGAGAGGAGGCTGTGATTGAGTGTATGCTGGCAGGGGCCCTTCTGCAGAAGCTCTCTGATTGTTAGGCAGGATCTGCCAGTGAAGGAGCTATAGCAGTTGCCACTGGGAAGGACCCTGATTGTGCATCTGTGGTTGCACTGCAAGTGGGTGCAGACAGGCAGGGACCCTGGAAGAGGCCAGCAAATAGGGTTACTCTAATCAGAGTGACCCCATCCCATGGTTAATATATCTCTTTTCTGTCTGTGTATGAGAGTCAACAAAGGCCAGAGCCACCTAGAGGAGCATGGTGAGTCTTGGAGAATGGGTATCCCTGGCCATACTACACTGCCGCTGTTTCTGTTAAACCGTCTGGGCTTTACACAGGCTAAAGTTTTTTTCCTGCCAACTCTTTAAGCAGCTCTTCTATCTAGCTTAAATGTCTGTGGGAATCTTATGATTCCCTGCAGCTAGAATTCTGGAGATCTGTGGAAAGAGTGGACCATTCCATGCCTATTTAACTCCACCCTTTTCCAGGAGCTTATCAGAGCCAAAAATGAGTCCTGGTGCTTGCAACCCTGTGCAGGGTTCTCAGCTTTCTACCCCTTTAGCCCAGTGTCTGCCTCCTCCCTCAGTCCACTCTTAATGACTTTCTTCCGACGATCTCCTTGGAGTGCACTGGGCTTCTTGATGATCTGGTCTCTTGGTGAGAGAAGCTCTCCTGTCTGTGTCTAGTCAGCCATCTTGGCTCTTACCCTCACAATTTTAAAGTATGTGTTATTAACTAGTGAGATATAAAGCCAGTATATAAAGTTGGGCTCTATTACAAGTTATAATGAAGAGACAGCTACATAGTATTAAGAGTAATAAAATACCTCCTTTTTTCTAAATCATAATTTTCATTTCAGCACTAAATTTTAAAAATAGATGTAAATATTTCCTGAATAAAAAATACAATAGAATAGGCATGGGCAATATCTAATAACACATCTTTTACATCATTAACTCAATATCAACTCAATAGATTTATGTGGAACAAGCTTCTTGTTCTGATGTTTGGTTTCTTCTACTGTTTTCTCTTATTTTGGATCTTTACATGTATTTTATAAAAACTGAAAAAACTACTAAAATAGCACAGAACTAAATGTCAAGTAAATTCATATTTATAACTGAAAACCATTTATTATCTCATCTTGCTGAGGTTTGATGTTACAGCAATTCCTAAATCACATGTAGTAACACTCAATGGTAATTAAATTAAGACATTATTTCTATTACATTACAGTAATCATGTAATAACATAACAGGCATTGGACAGAATGAAAATTGGAAAATAATCTCAGAACAACTTTGAATTAAAAGCTCAAAATTGGGGTAAATTCTACAATATTTATTAAAACATGTAAGCAATTACTAAATGAAGAACTTTTGGATACCCAAATAGTTTTTTAAAGGCTGTGATAAAAAAAATCCTCACAGATGCAAATTTGGGTGTGTCATAAGGCATACCATCAGAATATTTAGGAATTTGTATTGCAAGTATAATTTTCAGGCAAAGCAATTACTGTGATTTTTCTTCGTGATGGAGAGAGTTTCAGACGTATTAAAGCAGCAGTTTAGGAAACCAATCACACCAGTATGTAATGTACATCGAGCCATCTATATGGAATCCCATTATATTAATTTTTAAAATTTATTTCTTAAATTTATTTCCACAACAATCCTGGAAAGACAGGTATTATTAAAATGCCTTTTTATAGATGTGTAAACTGTCACTTGGAGAAGTAATTTTGCTAGCAGAGCCACAGCTAAGATTTGACTCAAGCTGGTTTAACACCAGTGTCTTTGCAATTAAATAGTAAAACTACACAGCTGACCCTGGAACAAAATGGGTTTGAACTGAGTGGTTCCATTTATAAGCAGATTTTTGTCAACAAAAGTTACTCTGACTGTGCCTGCCTTTTTAGCCTCCTCTTCCATCTTTTCCACCTCTTCAACCTCAAGACAGCAAGACCAATCCCTCCTTTTCCTCCTTTTCCTTGTACCCAAATCCAGGTTCAGCTGCTCACCACTGGAAAGCCAAACACAGAAGATGAAATTTGATGAGAAGAAAAGCAGTTTTATTTGGAAAGCCAGCAAAACTGAGAAGACGGTGAAATAGCATTTACAAGTATGATCTTACATTTTTTAGCCTGGCCAGAGGGTATTTATGTGAGGGAGGATAGAGGAAACTATGTTCTTGCATTAGAATCAAGGGGTTACTGAGTACTGCAGACATCTGGGCACCAGTAAGGGTCTGAGAAGTTTGGGAACTTCTTTGTTATTGATCAGGTCACAATATTTCTGTAAATCTTTAACAAATCATAGTTGTTTACATACTTTTTTAAAACCCAGGGATAGTTTTTAAAACTACATGATAATTGTTTTTGCATATTATGTTGGTACTCTAAAATTAGCCTAGCCTACGTGCAGGAATGGGTAAAGGCCCTTTAAACAAAAATGAAGTGGGTTGTGTTAGTTCTTTTGCCTTCTCACTGTTACATCTTTAGCCTACACAACGTGAGGACAATAAGAATGAAAACCTTTATGATGATCCAATTCTACTTAATACATAATAAAAATATTTTCTCTTCTTTATACTTTTCTTAATAACCTTTTTATTTTTTCTAGGTTACTTTATTGTAAAAATACAGTATATGATACATATAACATAAAACATGTTAATAAACTGCTTATGTTACCAGTAAGCCTTCTGGTCAATAGTGGACTATTAGTAGTTACATTTTTGGGAAGTCAAAAGTTACCCATAAATGTTCAACTGCATGAGAAGTTGGTACCTCATCCCCTATATTGCTCAAGGGTCAACTGTACTTTCTAAACTCATGATGGAAACTTTCATGTAGTTCTATTATATATGAGATACAGACCAAGATACAGATCAAACTGGCTAAGGCCAGCTCAAATTTAAATTCAATTAGGATTAAGATGACCAGTAGAGACTTGAAAAGTAGTGGCTGAAGTAAGTTAGAGGTTTATTTTTCTCTTCTGTGAAAATGTGACTTTAAGTGGTACAAGACTGGTAGGCAGCTTTGACTCATGAAGTTTTCAAGGATTCAGAATCCTTTTATACTAATGCTTCACTTTGTATTGCCTCCATCCTCAAGTCATTACATCTGCATTCTAGCCAGCAGGAAGGATAAGGGGAAAAAGAAGAAGAAAAGAATAAAGTGTGCATGCTAAGAAAGCTGCCATCCACCATTTCCACTTATAACCATTTTTGCCAGACCCTAATCACACAACCACATGTGTCTACAAAGGAGACTGGGAAATATAGTTTTTATTCTAAACAGCCAGAATGGAGGTCTTATTATAATGGAAAGAAATGTGAATATATAGTTGGGCACAAATAATAGTCTCTGCCATAAATAGATAGCTTGCAAATAGATAACAGTGATCACAAATATGCATGTATTCTATATAACTATTACTTAACAAAAAATAATAAATCCCATCTCCACTCTGAAATGCAACCCTGGTTTATTATAGAACATTTGAATTGACATAGAGGAAACCTTCTTGATTAGTATAGAACCATTTTAAACTGAAATCATGCTATTCTTCTATACTATACTAGGTGTTGTATTTTCCTCTAATTTGGTCTTGAAGTCTCCCTATCAAGGGTGGTGATAAACTCTAGCCCTGCCATGATGGGACTCCAGGGAAGATGATTGTGAATGTTTACAATGTGCCTTTCACAGGACATTTCTTTATTGTGGTGGAGGGCCTAATGCCTAAATGCCCCACACATGACCAGGTGTCCCCCTCACAGAAAACTTATTTATACTGGAAGATAGCCTTGTGTCTCTTGTCTCATTAGTGTTCACTTTATTTCTTCCAGATTTGCTTCAGGTATTCTGTGATATGGCAGAATCAGAATCAGATTATAACCCAAACAGGCAATGGAAGAAAAAACAGGGCATCAGGGACTATATAGAGTCCAGTAGACATTGTTTTGACTGAACAACCAGATGAGTAATTTGCTCTTAAATGATTGGGTAACAAATAAAAAGAGGGTCAGAAATTCTAAGCCCATGAATTAGGGAAGAGCTGGGAATAAGATATTGTTGTCATGTGTCAGCCGAAAGGGCAAGAGCCCAGGTCCTTGAAAATTTTGTTTAATGACTTACTTGATAACTTGACTGCTTTTTATTGATCCAGTTGCCTTCACCACTGGGTATAGACACCAGAGAACAGACATATGCAAGATGATTTAAAGACATGAGCATATTCACATGAGACTAGGATGATGGTGTCTTATTACATAGAAATTGATGGTATACTCCAAGCATTTTTACTTTGACATTGCAGTCACCATTTTCCATCGTATACTTGGTATCAGTTATGCCAATTATTTACTGCAATTTCTGTGCTTTGCAATAACTGAGCTGTAGTAGAAAATAACCTATCCATGCTCAGCAATATGACTTTACTTATGACTAGAATTTTGGGTTCTGGTTTTAAAACAAATATTTATGAGAGTAAAAGCAATCAGTTCTTCTCAAGTGAAAAAAAAATGAGTTGCTAAGGCCAGTTTGAATTGAAATAGCCTGAGACTAATGGGTCCCTTGGAGAAAGAGACCCTGAAAGAGAAGGGGTAGAGGATATAGAAAAGAAGGAAGAGAGATAAAGCTCAACTCCTTTACAATTTTGTTGGCTGTTCCTGAGTGTCATTACACAGTCAAACCACCTGCTTTGAAACCACTGCCAGAGAGATGTCAAAGATTGTTTTATTTTGAGCATGAGGACACAGTCCACTAAAAGAAAGAACGCCACATTTGTTCAATTTTTTTTTACCAATTGTCACATAATTTCTGCCAGCCTTCTTATTCAAAGATACATTTTTTTCTTCACTGCATGCATAACATGAAATGCAACTTTTACTGTGTCCATAAAGCACCAAATGAGCTGAAAATTTAACAATTGTACAGATCCCTTGATAAATTAAGACAGCTAATCTGGATAATTTAGATAAATCACATGAAAAGAATTATGTAATCTGATAAAGATAACTGTAAAATTGCCCAATATCCATTCATTATGCAGCTAAATCCTCAAGTAATGCTCTGAAATGAACTATGGAAAGTACATACTAAAGATATTTCAATGAAATGTTTAAACATCTCAGTTATGGGGGCATTACTCCTTCAACTAATTTTTTAATGTTACATTAAACATTTTGTACTTGGTTTGTATTAAGTTTTTATGTACTTTAAATGTACTGAAGTTTGAATGGTTTTCTACTGGAAGAAGCAGCATTTTTGTGCAATAGCAAAAGCACTGGACTCAAAGAAAAGAGATCTGACTTTTGTTCCAACCCTAATAGTAATAAATCAAGTGACTTCTGACAAGTCCCTTAACCCTTTCAAGTCTCCGTTTCTTTGACCATTGAACTAAAAGTAATCACGCCTGCCTGTCTACCTTATAGGGTTGTTGTGGTTATGAAATGGTTATACATATCAATCCATTTAGAAACGTTTAATGGGAGGTTTAAATATAAAATATTCTCATATTTATGTTCAGAATCATAGCAATACATCCTTTTAAGTGAGAAAAGTACACAGGTAAATACACTAAGTTGCAAGTTCTACATGGGCAAACATTAGTAAAATACTGTATAAGTAGATTTTGGAACTAAAGTAATTTCATCTAGGCTTCAATTTTTCTGTTTCAAAGGCATGGAAAATTTGAAGCTACCACTACCAATTTCACTGTCTCTGAGTGTTTCTGTTATTACAGTTTAATAATAAGCAATGGCTCAACTGCACATCGGTTCATACAATTTATTCATATTAATGGCAAAGAAACCTACATGTGGTTCAGTTATTTCAGCCACTATGACAACCAAATTGGGGATAATTAATTTCTAAAGCACAGGTTTAATCATTTCATTTTCTGCTGAAATAATTTAATAATAGTTTATTGATCAAAAATAAAGTGCAAGCACCATTGGGTGTCATTCAAGGCCCAAAATACTTTCCGAATTTAATTTCTCCATTGCTCCTCCTCGCATAGACTATGATACAATTAGATTACATAACTTCAATTTCTACAGAGTTTGCATGTTTACTGTTTCTTTTCATTTGCTCATATTGCTCCCTCCAAAGGGAACGCTCTTTTGGCCTAGCGCTGCCTCTTAATCTTATCAGTGCTTCCATTTTCTGCCCAAATACCATCCCTTCCATAGAATTTATTTTTTATTTACATATCTAAATCTAATATTTCTTTTCAGAATGCACAAAAAAACATGTTGTGCCTCTATTTTAGTACATTTTGGAGTCTTCTTTATATCACAAATATGTTTTTATAGAAGTCAAATTCCTCTAGACATTCATATCCTTCAAGAAAGTAATTCCGTCTCTTTTTGTCATTGTATTATACACTAAAACTGGCACAATGTATTGCATATAGTAAGTGCTTACTAAATATTTATTGTTTGCCCAAGTAAATTCTAAAAAATCAACTGAAATATAAATCTATGAAATAGGTAGACTAGTCACAAAAGCATTGAGTTCCATTTAGCAACATAAATGTGGAATGAGTGTTAGTATTCTCATTAAAGAGACAAAAACAATAGAACATAGAAATTAGTTGACTACCAACATTTAGAAATTTGCAAACAATTTTAGCAGAATTAAAATATTATGCAAATTAAACATCATACTCATGGTCACCTACATATGCTGCTTTTGACTCTAAAATAAGTTAAAATTTAATTTTTTGAAGAAGAGGGAAACTATTTGCTAGGGTGATAATTACACAAAGGATGTTGGCAAGATACATAATGCACAAAGGTATGAATGTTTTCTATTACACAGTGATTAAGTAAAACAAGCTGGTGACAATCTGCCTTGTTTTGTGTTCTGGCTTTATGATTTACCAACTATTTAAACTTGGGCAAGTTAAGTAATCTCTGAGTTTGTTTTTTCATTGGAAAACTCGGGAGAATAGTAGTAAGTAACTCATGCTGTTGTAGGAACAAATGAAAAGTACTATGATTTTTTTCCAGTAGGAATAAAACCTTTTTAAAATTCAAAATTCAATAACTTAGATTATGTACAATTATGCTCGTAGAAACACATGCATTACAAAAACAGATATGTGAAATAGACTTCTGAGAAATGCCTGCATTCTCACAGCTAATGTTCAAAGTCAAGGTTTTAATATACAAGAACTAATAACGTTGTATCACACTGTACAGTCTTTTTCTCTCATCTTTCTATGTTGGCGAATCATCTGCATTGTGTTATTTAAATGGTTAAGGTAATATGCATAGATGGTCAAACTCTTAAAATATGCTATTTATTTTCATTCAAAATAATTAAATTTTGTCTCAAATATCAAATAAATAGTATAGGAGTTACATGAGAATGTTGCTGCTTATGTCTATTACAGAAGAAATATACTTGAAAAATGAGTTTGTTCCACTGATGTTTATATGCTTTCATTTAGGCTTGACATTGGAAAACTGCATCTCTTCTGAGAACCTAAAATATGTCACGTGTAATTTTAAATCATGATATTCAGTATTAATTATGACACTAAGTTTCAATTGTATCATTTATTCCCTGAATTTAACTGGTCAGTAAGGAATTTTAAACATGTGTCCTATACTAACGTTTTTAGAGAATTTGGAATCTGAGTGACAAGAATGAAGTGGCAAGGGTGTGACCCCACTGCAAAGGGGAAAGAAGCATTATTAAAATTACTGCTACCTAGTGCTTCTCTTTATTTGTAGGTTTTCACATTGAGTGTTATATTCTTTGTTATTAATTCCATCACCTGTACCAAAAAATTGAATCTCACTTCATGCATCCAAAATTTGAGCATAGAATGCTACAAACCATATGGATCTCATTTGAAATTCTTCCAAATTATACATATCCATGTGCAGCTGATAAAAGTCAATTTACTTAGCAGTAGGTGAATGGAAGGCTGCTCTCAAATCAAGTCCAAGGAGATCACCCTATAGGTTTTCTAAGTACTAAACTTAAGGGAAATTACTTCATCACAACTTGATCCAGACTACAGTAATGTATACTGTGATGTAGCCAGTGTTCAACTATGTTGACTTTACAATACTAGAATGAATCCATCTGTATTGCTCAATGAAGTCATTTCCACGCTGTAGTGGTTTTGAGACTGACATCATCTTTTGCAGGCCCATATGCTGAACTACATAATCCTGAGAATTTATGATGTTGCTGAAATGTTATTAACCTTTTGATCATAATAGCAGTCTTTCATGGCATACACCTGTCAAGTTTAGGTTGAGATTGTAGTCCTGTAACATAAAGGTACGTTTCAGTGGCAATTAGTAGAATTGTCTATCATTTTGTATTCTCTTTGCAAAACAGTGCAATATGCCAATGGTTTGGTGTTTCAGAATTAGGTTTATTTAGGGTGTTATTTTAAGATTTTTTCATATAGCTGAAGACAATAAGTATGCTCTCTAACATACTTACTCCCAGCAATTTCTTACTTTGAATTTTACCTTCGTCAATGAATTTGAATTGCAACTACAAGATGGACTGGAATTCATGATATTAATACTAATGCCACCACAGCCTTCCAAAATCTGGAGGTTTTACCATGATGTAGCTCATCTCCTTGCTTCCACCCATTCCCCTCCCACACATTTAATGTATTCTCAAAACAGCAGTTAGAGGGACCTTGATAAAGTATAGCAAATCATGTCAAATCACTTCCCTGCTCAAAACCTATTAATAATGTCACATCTGATTTCAAGTAAAAGACAGTGTCCTTGCAGGGACCTACAAGACCTTACCTCACCTTCCAACTTTTTAAGCTCATAACTTTCCGACCTCATCTTAAATCCTTTCCCTCTTGTTCATGCTATTTGCCTTTGTTCACTTGTTCACACAAGCAAGTTTGCTATTCCTACAGTATGCCAAGAGACATCTTGACTCCTAGTTATTGTTCTTTTTATTCCCTCTGTCTGGAATAAATTTCCACAAGATATCAACATGGCTCAATAGATTTTCTCTTTCAAGTCTTTGCTTAAAATTCACCTCAACAAGACCTTTTTGAATGACTCTCATTACATTTTTAAATCTACCTAAACATTTTTATACTCTGTCCCTCTTTTATTTTATTACTTCATATCCTTTAATGTCTTATAATATTATAAAATCTACATATTTGTTATGTCTGTATTGCTCCACTAAAATGAAACCCTACATTGCTCTATTTCCAAAGCTAGAAATTTGCCTGTCACATGGTAGGCACTCAATAAATATTTTGAAATGAAATTGTTGACTCAAATCAGAGTCCAGACACCCATGAAATGAATCAAATTTCTTCCACTGATACATAATGAAAGGCAATATTACTTTGTATTAGCAGTCTGAGAAAATATTTTCAGTTGTTTTGAAATCAGTGGTTCTCAAAACAGAGTTGGAGAGACAGGCACTATGGTTCACACGTGCAATTCCAGAAACTTGGGAAGCTGAGGTGGAAGGATTTCTTGAGGCCAGGAGTTCAAGACCAGCCTGGGCAGCATGGCAATTCCCCATCTTTTAAAAAAATAATAGGGTTGGATGACCATGCATATATAAATTTCTAAGGTGCTTTTCAAAAATTGCAAGTTTCTGGGACTCAAACTCTTTCATTAGAAACCTGCAATGGAAAACTTTAGAAAACTGTATTTTTAATGAGCATGTCTTATGATTCTTTTATGTAATAAAATTTGAGAACAGCTTCTCTAAAGTAAAAGAAATGAGCTACCATTATATGTGGTCATCCCTATTTTCCTTAAATCACCATTTAAAAAAAATAAACTACCATTTTCTTAGATAACCATGACACTTAAAAAAATAGAAACCTTAATTATCACATACATCTAGTTCTGAACAATTCAAAGTAATACTCAGGATGAAAACCCAGTGGCACAATATTTTACCTTCAAGGAAGTTGAGTGTTTAAAAAAAATGTTCCCAGAGATGTTTTTAACACACCTTAGATTTGAAAAAGGGCAAACAAAGAAAAAAAAAAGTGGCTTTTCTTCATAATCTTTGATAAACCACTATTTTAACTTTAAGAACCTCCACCTTGATTACGAATTTAGGTTAGTCAAAGTTTAAATGTACTTTTATTTTTCCTCTTTGTGCAAGCTTACTAACATACTCCAAATAAAAACATAAAATAATATTTACTTTAAAAATAACTAAGTCAAGACTGTAGCACATACGCTATATTAAAGATCACTAGATAAAGATTCCATAAAACATTTTATGATGTTTTATCCTTAATAGACAGTATATATAAAATTATATATACAATACATATTTTTATTCTTAATATATAGTATATATAAAATTATAATCTTTTTTTATTTTATTTTATTATTATTATACTTTAAGTTTTAGGGTACATGTGCACAATGTGCAGGTTTGTTACATATGTGTACATGTGCCATGCTGGTGTGCTGCACCCATTAACTCGTCATTTAGCATTAGGTATATCTCCTAATGCTATCCCTCCCCCCTCCCCCCACCCCACAACAGTCCCCAGAGTGTGATGTTCCCCTTCCTGCGTCCATGTATTCTTATTGTTCCATTCCCACCTATGAGTGAGAACACACGGTGTTTGGTTTTTTGTTCTTGTGATAGTTTACTGAGAATGATGATTTCCAATTTCATCCATGTCCCTACAAAGGACATGAACTCATCATTTTTATGGCTGCATAGTATTCCATGGTGTATATGTGCCACATTTTCTTAATCCAGTCTATCATTGTTGGACATTTGGGTTGGTTCCAACTCTTTGCTATTGTGAAAAGTGCCGCAATAAACATACGTGTGCATGTGCCTTTATAGCAGCATGATTTATAGTCCTTTGGGTATATACCCAGTAATGGGATGGCTGGGTCAAATGGTATTTCTAGTTCTAGATCCCTGAGGAATCGCCACACTGACTTCCACAATGGTTGAACTAGTTTACAGTCCCACCAACAGTGTAAAAGTGTTCCTATTTCTCCACATCCTCTCCAGCACCTGTTGTTTCCTGACTTTTTAATGACTGCCATTCTAACCGGTGTGAGATGGTATCTCATTGTGGCTTTGATTTGCATTTCTCTGATGGCCAGTGATGGTGAGCATTTTTTCATGTGTTTTTTTGGCTGCATAAATGTCTTCTTTTGAGAAATGTCTGTTCATGTCCTTCTCCCACTTTTTGATGGGGTTGTTTGTTTTTTTCTTGTAAATTTGTTTGAGTTCATTGTAGACTCTGGATATTAGCCCTTTGTCAGATGAGTAGGTTGCGAAAATTTTCTCCCATTTTGTAGGTTGCCTGTTCACTCTGATGGTGGTTTCTTTTGCTGTGCAGAAGCTCTTGAGTTTAATTAGATCCCATTTGTCAATTTTGTCTTTTGTTGCCATTGCTTTTGGTGTTTTAGACATGAAGTCCTTGCCCATGCCTATGTCCTGAATGGTAATGCCTAGGTTTTCTTCTAGGGTTTTTATGGTTTTAGGCTTGACATGTAAGTCTTTAATCCATCTTGAATTGATTTTTGTACAAGGTGTAAGGAAGGGATCCAGTTTCAGCTTTCTACATATGGCTAGCCAGTTTTCCCAGCACCATTTATTAAATAGGGAATCCTTTCCCCATTTCTTATTTTTGTCAAGTTTGTCAAAGATCAGATAGTTGTAGATATGTGGCGTTATTTCTGAGGGCTTTGTTCTGTTCCATTGATCTATATCTCTGTTTTGGTACCAGTACCATCCTGTTTTGGTTACTGTAACCTTGTAGTGTAGTTTGAAGTCAGGTAACGTGATGCCTCCAGCTTTGTTCTTTTGACTTAGGATTGACTTGGTGATGCGGGCTCTTTTTTGGTTCCATATGAACTTTAAAGTAGTTTTTTCCAATTCTGTGAAGAAAGTCATTGGTAGCTTGATGTGGATGGCATTGAATCTATAAATTACCTTGGGCAGTATGGCCATTTTCACGGTATTGATTCTTCCTACCCATGAGCATGGAATGTTCTTCCATTTCTTTGTATCCTCTTTTATTTCATTGAGCAGTGGTTTGTAGTTCTCCTTGAAGAGGTCCTTCACGTGATTTTCTATTATTTACCTAAAAGGCATTTTTCATATTCTCTCATCTTATTTAAACCATATCATATAATTTAATCATGCATGTTTAATTCATTTTTATTCAAAAAAATGCATGACAGATTAGTGAACCAAATCAAGGCCGAAATGCTGTTGATTATTCTGACATAGGTAAAATTTGATTTTCAGTAATTTTAAAATCAGTTTTCAAAAGGATAACCTTATAAAGCCTCACATTTTTCTTCTTTTATTATTATTATTTTTCTTCAACTTTTATTTAAGTTCCAGGGTACATGTGCAGGATGTGTAGTTTTGTTACATAGGTAAACGTGTGCCATGGTTGTTTGCTGCACAGAAAAACCCATCACCCAGGTATTACACCAGGCATCCATTAGCTATTCTTCCTGATGCTTTCCCTTCCCACGCCCCCACCGACATGCCTCAGGGTGTATTGTTCCTCCTCCAACCTGTGTCCATGTGTTCTCATCGTTCAGCTCCCACTTATAAGTGAGAACATGCAGTGTTTGGTTTTCTGTTCCTGCATTAGTTTGCTAAGGATAATGGCTTCCAGCTCCATCCATGTCCCTACAAAGAACATGATCTTAATCTTTTTTATGGTTGCATAGTATTCCTGGTGCATGTGTACTTCATTTTCTTTATCCAGTCTATCATTGATGGGCATTTGGGTCGATTCTATGTCTTTGCTATTGTGAATAGTGCTGAAATGAATATATGCATTCATGTGTCTTTATAATGGAATGACTTATATCCCTTTGGGTATATACCCAGTAATGAGATTGCTGTGTGAAATGGTATTTCTGCTTCTAGATGATTGATGAATTAACACACTGTCTTCCACAATGGTTGAATTAATTTACACTTTTACCAACAGCATAAAAGCGTTCCTTTTTCCCTGCAACCTCACCAGCATCTGTTGTTTCTTGATTTTTAAGTCACGTTTCTGACTGGCATGAGATGGTATCTCATTGTGGATTTGATTTGCATTTATCTAATGATCAGTGATGTTGAGCTTTTTTTCATATGTTTCTTGGTCACATAAATGTCTTCTCTTGAGAAGTGTCTGTTCGTGTTCTTTGCCCAGTTTTTAATGGGGTTATTTGTTTATTTCTTGTAAATTTGTTTAAGTTCCTTGTAGTCTCTGGATATTAGACCTTTGTCAGATGGATAGATTGCAAAATTTTTCTCCTGTTTTGTAGGTTGTCTGTTCACTCTAATCATAGTTTCTCTTGCTGTGCAGAGGTCTTTAGTTTAATTAAATCTCACTTCCTGTTTATCTTTAAGAACTTACCAGCCACAAAGCATTCAGTGTTTGCAACAAATTTTATTTAATGAGATGAGGCAGGACAAACTGCCTTTATTTTTCCCTTTTAGATTTCTGCTTGAATTTACTAGGAACAGTTATTTAGGTTCAAGAGCAATAATAGGAGTTATATGCATATGGCACTCTCAACAATTAAATAAACCATCAGTTTGTTTGTTTGTTTATTTATTTTAGATAGTGTCTCACTCTGTCACTCAGGCTGGAGTACAGTGGCACCATCTCGGCTCCTGCAACCTCCGCTTCCCAGGTTCAAGCGATTCTCCTGCCTCAGCCTACTGAGAAGCTGGGACTGCAGGTGCCCGCCACCTCACCCTGCTAATTTTTTGTATTTTTAGTAGAGACCGAGTTTCACCATGTTAGCCAAGCTGGTTTTGAACTCTTGACCTCAAGTGATCTTCTGCCTCGGCCTCACAAAATGCTAGAATTACAGGCGTGAGCCACTGTGCCTCGCCAACCATGAGTATATTTATTTAAGGCAACATTTTTAATGTTTCTTTGTTTCTTTTAACAAAATTATATGTGGAAACTTAGCACATAAAACATACAGAGACAGTTATTCTGATTAGAAGGGTGAGGATCAGTAATCTAACTGCTCACCATTGCAGAGTAAGTAATGTAAAATGGTCACCTTTGAGGTACTTCCTATGGGACCCAGGGCTCCAAGAGGCAGATTTTAAAAATAATAAGGAATGAATCTGATGTACAAGATGCATCTGAATACAGAAACAAATAGAAGGAAAGCAATAAAAACAGTTGATGAGGCCATGGATTGTTTTTCCAATGCTATTCCAAAAGCAAAAGTGTGTTTACTTGGATCCGTAAGTCAACAATTTTTAAAAGCTGATTTGTTGGCTTTAGTTGCCATAACCATGAAGAATTAAGAAAATAGAAAATAAATAAATTGCAAATTATTTTCTCTCACTGATCACAAACACAGAAGTCTATGTTTTATATTTGTATATAGAAAATGAAAAATAAATGACAAGGTAGAGTGAGACATCCAGACAAGGGAGAGTGAAGAGATCGACAGATCCTTTCCATGAAAACAATTATAAAACTTAATAAAATTGTCAAATCAAATATTATGGGGCTCTGGAAATTAAATAGACAAATAGATTTAGAAGTATCTACTAAGAAAAACAACTAAACTTTAAGCAAGAGCAATGGGAGTCTGTGCATTCTTTTAAACATTTTTGTATATCTATGTTTTTATTTCAATAGCTTTTGGGATACAGATGGTTCTTGGTTACATGGATGAATTGTATAGTGGTGAAGTCTGAAATTTTGGTGTACCAATCACCCAGATAGTGTACATTGTAACCAATATGTGGTTTTTATTTCCCACCATCCTCCCACTTTTTCCTCTTCTGAGTCTTCAGTGTTCATTACACTGTCGTGTATGTTTTTGCCTACCCTTAGCTTAGATCCCACTGATAAGTGAGAACATACAGTATTAAGTTTTTCATTCCTAAATTACTTCACTTAGAAGAAGGGGCTCCAGCTCCATCCAACTTGCTATAAAATACATCATTTCATTTTTTATGGCTGAGTAGTATTCCATGGAAAAGTATACTACATTTTATTTATTCACTCCTCAGTTGATGGACACAAAGGTTGGTTCCATATCTTTGCACTTGTGAATTGTGCTGTGACAAACATATGCATGCAAGTGTCTTTTTGATATAGTGACTTATTTTTCTTTGGGCAGTTAACCAGTAATAATGGGATTGCTGGATCGAATGACAGATCTACCTGTAGTTCTCTGAGAAGTCTCCATACTTTTTTCCATAGAGGTTGTACTAAATTACATTTCTACCAGCAGTGTATAAGCATTCCCTTTTCGTCATATCCATACTAACATCGGTTGTTTTTTGATTTTTTAATAATGGGCATTGTGGCTGGGGTCAGTTCCCATCTCATTGTAGTTTTAATTTGCATTTTCCTGATTATTAGTGGTGTTTGGCTTTTTTTTTTTTTCTGTTTCTTGGCCATTTGTATATCTTTTTTTGAGAAGTGTAATGAAGATCCAAAGGAGAACTTTTGCACTATTTCTGAAGGCTGCTATGCAGGCCATTTTTTTGTGGCACTATTTTTTATTAACTCCAGCTGCCTTGGAGTCTCTGGACCCCCAACAATGTTTCCTCAACTCATAAAGTTGCTAGGCTCTGTTTTACCTTCCCATACCTGTGTTGTGTCCTGGATTTTTTTCCAGGAAGTAAATTGGAGCGATAATAGGATTCAACTTACTATTATTTTTCTTTCTCAGAGATTACTGCACACTGTTGCCTGATATTCCGTGTCATGGTTTTTTTTATGTATTTCCTGCTGGGTTCTAGTTTCCAGGCAGGAGGGTAAATTCAGTCACTATTAGTTCATCTTTATCAGAATAGAAAGTTCTTTCTGTTATATGATTGCTTTCTATTACATCGATGTTTGCTCTCTACTATTTCCCTTCTTTTGTCTTTGGTTTACTCTGATGATCCTTCTTATATCTGCCTGTCACGGCGTTAGCTTCTCTTTTTGAGATTTCTCAGACCATGCCCAAAGATAAATTTGAAAACACAAATCCTTATTTAAAAAAACATGATCTGGTTTTAAGACCTTAAGTAATTTTTCCTCAGAGTCCAAGTCATGATAGTTGTCTCCTTAGTTTATGTTTCCTGTTCCACCATTTCACAGAATATATGCCCTCCTTTATATAAATTTTATGTAGATGACTAAACTACAGCACCCTCAAATGTGTGGTAAGAGGTCTATTTATATAATCCCTAATAAAGCATTAAAACACAAATTTCTGGGTTACAGAGATTCACAATGCAATTAGAGTAGTGATGCCTTCCATTTTACTTGTGCCTCTAAGGTTTTGTGTTTCCTCTTTGCTCTCGTGGATGTCCCTTGTTTTTTAGTTCAATTATGCACTTAAAAGTATGTTTTCTATAGTTTATCATATTTCTAGTTTTCCTTTAATCAAAGTGGATTTTTAGAATATCTAGAATTCCATATCGCCAGTAAGAGAAGTTTACTTCCTTCTTAAAGTAGTTTGTTTTCTTGTTTTCTGGAAGATCATACCTGATAATTTCAGAAATAATGTGCCACCAAGTTGTTGTGTCTTTACTTAGCTTAACTGATTGTTAAGCCCTTATCAAAGCTGCTCACATTCACTTACTAAGCAAGGATTATATATTTGAGCCACAATAATCAGTCATATATATATGACTCCTATTCCTTTATTTTTCCTTTCACAGGTGTCAATCCAAAATAAACCTCTTAAATCCCAAACAAAAAGTCAGTGTCTGCTTCCAAAAAAACTTGCTTTAAAACACCATATTTCCTGCTTTTTCTGCTTCCTCATTGGTAAACTTGTATCAGTCTCCTTGGCAGAAACCTCTTCTTCTTCATGAATTCCTCATCTTGTGTACTCCTTTTGCCTATAGTTCTAAGGCTAAATATCAATATTATTCAAATTAAATATCAATCACAATATGATGACCTTCAAATTTATAGCTCTAGTCCCAACCTCCTTCTTAGTTACAGAATCATACCTCCAAATGCCTACTCACTATTTCACTTGGAAGTAGCATATTTAAGCAAACTATTTTTGACCCCCATCTTGCAAGAGTTCTCATTCTATTCTTTCCTGTCTTCGTATATGAAGCATATTTCACCTAGTTTCTGGAACCAAAAGTTGTCAATCATGATTTAATTCTATGTTTTGTTCACACTTCTTATATTCTTGACTTGCATATCTTGTCAGATATAAATTTAAAATAGAGGCATCCCTTGTAAAGAACTGCAAAGCATTTCTGATTGTATTCAGTAGTGAAAACCAGAAAATATGATTAATTTAAATATAAGTTAATAATTAACTCCATACTATCATAAAATATCAACCAATTTCTCCAAATAACATTACAAATTTCTCAGACTACAGTATAACCATACACCAATTATTTTTGCATAATACCAGGTACTTAAAATACCACCAATTACCTCAGTTTGAATACTTCAAACAATTTTTAAGGGATATGTGCCTGTGTAATATTTGATACTGAAAAGTATCATATAGGAATTATGATTTACTATACTCTATGGTAAACATGTACTATGCTGTAAACAACAAAATGATATATTGAAGATGCTGAAGAATATTTAACTTTTCCCAAGTTGATAGAAACTCTAGGCATCTGACAGAAGGAAACATGGGATACATAAAGGGCTAAGACTCTTGGGGAAAGATGGTGACAATTGCAATAAGGCAAAATATATTTTTATTAGTCAAGATAGGCTAGACTATGATGCAGTGACAAGCAACCCCCAAATCTCAATAGATTACCACTATGGTGATTCACTCCTTATGTAATGCATCCATTACCAGAAGGCTAGGGATATTCTTAAAGTTGCCTTCAATTTATGATTCAGGTGAAAAACTATACATGTATCTAGTACATTACTTGTCTTGTAGCAGAGCAAAGAGAGATATGGGGAAATATGCATTGGTTCTTACAATACTGGCTGATATGGTTTGGATTTGTGTCCCTGCCCAAATCTCATGCCAAATTGGAGAAGGGGCCTGGTGGGAGGTGACTGGATCATTGGGACAGATTTTCCCCTTGATTGTTGTGCTCCTGATAGTGAGTGAACTCTCATGAGATATGACAGTTTAAAAGTAAGTGGCACTTCCCCCTTTCTGCTCTTTCTCTCACTCTTGCTGTCATTTGAAGAAGATACTTGCTTCCCCTTCTCTTTTCACGATGATTTTTAAGTTTTCTGAGGCCTCCAGTCATCCTTCCTGTTAAGCCTGCTGAACTGTGAGTCAATTAAACCTCTTTTCTTCATAAATTATCCAGTCTCAGGTAGTTCCTTATAGCAGTGCAAGAACAAACTAATACATTGGCAATAAATCACACCAGTAAATTCCACTCATATTTTACTGGCTAAATAAAGTTATAATCATGGGTGGTATGTATTTTTAGTTCAAAAAGTCAGAGATGTATAATTCTACTGCAAGAAGGAAAATGAAATAATCTATCATAATGTTTAAAAGAACATGCAAGAAATGTAACCCTTTTAAAGCAGTAGAAATAGGACTGAAATCTACATTCTTCATCTTGTACTAAAATTAAACTGAAGTTCCATTTAGACACACAAATGAGGATTTATTGGAATTTGTTTTACATTTAGTCGATGAATTTGAGACAACATTTTTGCAAGTAGCAAAACTGAATATTCAAAGAATGAGATACTGGGATAGCTGTATAAACACGAAGCCAATCACAGCTCATCACTCCCACAAATATGTCACAAGTATAAGACATCAATAACTTTCTACAAGAAAGTTGAAGTTACAAAAATAGATCTATAAGAGCTATGGATTTCACCTCAAGCAAAGATCATGCAGTACTATACAGATGTTTAAAGAGTGGGTTTAATGACCCACCATTTCACCATTGGTAGTCTAAAATGTCTTTAAAAAACTATCAGCCACTAAGAAGATCAAATTTAAGTAGTCATTTGCAACATAATCAGTTATTTTGACTCTAAACTAAGAAAAACACATGATAAATTTAGTTGACTATAAGAGGCTGCATTTATCAATATGATACCATTCAAAAGTATTGAGGCAGGAAATTAAAGAAAAATAAAATTAAAAAGAAAGAGAAATAAGCGTTCCTGTATTTGGCTGACTTGTCCCACAGGCAGCAACAAGCACAGCCCAGACCCAGGAAAAGTCTTAATAATATTATCTAATGTGCTCTGGAGACTCCCAGCACTCCCTCAACATAGGGAGAAGAAAAACAAATTTTCCTTTGTTTTATCATATGAGTTTATAGATTCTTGTTCTCTGTAACTAGTAACTTCAAGTATTCTGTTTTATTTAAGAAGTACAATGAAGGTCATGAGAAGCCTGAGTAGGCCTGAACTACAGTGGTCTGGGCACCATAGTAAAGGTTATGAGATAAACCAGTGCAAAGCTCTTCAGAGCAAAAGCTAGAAAATGGACATCTGGGTTGCTTGGCAATGGTCATGTGTAATCCTGAGTTATGAACCTGTCACAATTTAGTTAATTGTTCTGCCTCTGTATCCTTGCTTTCACGTCACTGTAACTGTAAGCCTGCTTCAAGCTAGCCCACCCCCTTTTGCGAAGTGTGTATAAAAGTCAAGTGCTGTCTTTGTTCTGCACCCAGTCTTTGGATGTTGAGTCTGCTGAGTCTGAGTGCACTCAATAATAAAGACATCCTCCTGTATACACCCCAAGGTCTCTCTCTGATCATCCTGATTCTGCAACAGTATGGTTGGAATAAGGCCACCTTACTTCCTTACTAAAGTTTCCAATTGTTGATAACATCTACATTCTTGTGGTAAAACTTTCCCTAAAAGTGGCAAAACAATAATTTAATATGGAATAACTCTGATTAAATGAAACCACAACTGATTACTTATTAACCAAAGAGGATGAGCACCAACCAAAGGAGCAGGCCTTAAATTCTCAGAACCTCAATCTTTAGGTCTACTATTATGTCTTGCATACAACTCCCTTAGAGAGTATCTTTAAAACCAAATATTTTAATATAGGTTTCTGCTTAACATCTGAAGATAATTTAATAAACTGTAAAGCAGACTTCACAGAAATTATGTGTATCTTATATTATTTTTCCATTATTCTTATTTTAAAAGTATGTAAAAAGGAGTATAAATAATGTGCAAATGGGATATTCAGGTGGAATCTTATATTTCAAAACTATTACTTTATACATTTTTTTGGATCTCATAGAAATTATGCTGAGTGACATATGCTTATGCCCCAAAATTTACATTTTGTATTGTTCCTCTTATATAGCATTTTTAAAATAACAAAACAGATTAATAATTTCTGAAATCTAGATATAGGGAGATGTCGGGAAAAGTGAGTGTAAAAGAATCAACACAGGAATCCTTGTGCTGATGGAACTGTTCTGTACCTTAATCATAGTGGTGATTGCGCAAACCTATACATGTAAAAACGTTGCATATAACTAGGTTCTCTGACACACACACTCAAAAGTTAGTGCATGTAAAAACTAATGAATCTGAATAAGATCACTGATAATTTTCTAGTTGTGATAGTGTGCTATAGTTAGGCAAGACATTATCATTGTGAGATATTGGATAATGGATACAGGGCATCTCTGTATTATTCTCGTAATTTCATATGAATCTATAATTATCTCAAAATAAAAAGTTTAACTTAAAAATCACAAAATTCATAAAGAAATATGCTACTATAAGAAAATTAGCATTAAAAAATTAGAAATTCGATGATTTGAAATACCAGAATTATCAAACACTGAAAGTAAATAATAAAACATAGTACTAGTATATATACTATTGTGTATATATATATACACACACACATTCACATACACATAAATGTACAACAAGCAAGGAACATAAGAACATTAGATATAAATAGGAAGACTTAAAATAGAAAATGTACAAATAGAAATGTAACATAACTAAAGCTAATCTTAGTGAGTTAAGTCCAACAGTAGATTTGACACAGCAGAAGATATATTTATGTAAAGACAGATACAAAGAAATCATGGAAAATTGTGCACATCCTTGAGTCAGGGACCAGATTCAAAAAAAATTAAAATTGCAATATGGAATAATGTACATTGAGATTGAGTAACAGGATCTGATATATTTTAAATAGGAGTTATAGAAGGATAGTAGACAGAGAATGGAGCAGCAGGTGATAGAAACAGTAATATCTAAATAGTAACAAAACCATCTACTTTTCTGATTATATGAACTTTATGCTTCTGTGCTAATAATCAGATAACAAAGAAAAAAATTTATTCTCAAGAATAAATATCATAGATGATGTATATATTGCATTGTTCAATACAATATTGAACAATATTGCCTGAAATATTTGCCTGAAATTAATGGGAAATATTTGATTTTCATTATCTGGCAATCAGTTTATCCTGGTGTGGAAATATTAAGAAATTATTTCAGATATTTCTGTGTTAGTCCACTTTATGTTGCTAATAAAGTAATGCCTGAGGCTGTGTAATTTTGTCCCTATGTTTAATGTTTGTGGGTACATAGCGGGTGTATATATTATGGGATACATGAGATGTTTTGATGCAGGCATGCAATGTGAAATAAACACAACATGGAGAATGGGGTATCCATATCCTCAAGCATTTTTCCTTTGCATTACAAACAATTCAATTACACTTTTTAAGTTATTTTAACATGTGCAATTATTTTATTATTTACTATAGTCAACATAGTGTGCTATAAAGTAGTAGGTCTTATTCATTATCTCTATTTTTTATATTAAATAACCACATCACTTTCCCCACAGTCCCCCACTATCATTCTTATGCCTCTAATAATCATCCTTCTACTCTCTGTGTCTATAAGTTACATTGTTTTGATGTTTAGATACCATGAATATACGAAAACAAGTGATGTTTGTCTTTTCTTGCCTGGGTAACTTCACTTGACATAATAATGTACAGTTCCACCCATGTTGTTGAAAATGACTGGATATCATTTTTTTATGGCTGAATAGTGCGCCATTGTGTATATGTGTCACATTTTCTTTATCCATTTATCTGTTGATGGACACTTAGGTAGCTTCCAAATCTTAGGTACTGTAAACCGTGCTCCAACAAACATAGAGGTGCAGATATCTTTTGGACATACTGATTTCCTTTCTTTGAAATATATACACAGCAGTGGGATTGCTGAGTCACATGGTAATTCAATTTTTAATTTTTGAGGAAAGTCCAAAATTTTCTCCATTGTGATTGTACTAATGTACATTCTCACCAACAGTGTACAAGAGTTCTCTTTTCTCCACATGCTCGCCAGCATTCGTTATTGCTATCTTTTAAGTATAAGCCATTTAAATCTAGAATGAGATGATATCTCATTGTAATTTTGATTTGCATTTCTCTGAAAATGAATGATGTCGAGCACTGTCAAAACGGTTGTTTGCTATTTGTATGTTTTCTTTTGCAAAATATCTATGAAAATCTTTTGCCTACTTTTTGATCAGATTATTAGATTTTTTCTTATAGAGTTGTTTGAACTCCTTATATATTGTGGATATTAATCTCTTGTCAGGTGGGTAGTTTACAAATATTTTCTCTCATTCTGTGGGTTGTCTCTTCACTTTGTTGATTTTATCTTTTGCTGTGAAGAAGATTTTTAACTTGATGTGATCCCATTTGTCTATTTTTGTTTTGGCTGATTTTGCTTGTGGGGTGTTGCTCAAGAATTTTTTGCCCAGACCAATGTCCAAGAGATTTTTCTCAATGCTTTCTTGTAGTAGTTTTAAAACTCGATGTCTTAGATTTAGGTCTTCAATGAATTTTGATTTGATTTTTGCATGTGATGAGGGATAGAGGTCTAATTTCATCAATATCCAGTTTTCCAGGCAGCATTTATTGAAGAGCCTTTTCCCTAGTGTAGATTCCTGGCACCTTTGTCAAAAATGAGTTCTGTGTGGATTTGTTTCTGTATTATCTATTCTATCCTATTGGTCTATGTGTCTGTTTTTATGCCAGTAACATGCTGTTTTTATTACCATAGCTCTGTAGTGTAATTTGAAGTCAGGTAATGTGATTTCTGTTATTTTTACTTAGGATAGCTTTGGCTATTCTGGGTCTTTTGTGGTTCCACATAGATTTTAGGATTGTTTTTTTCTATTTCTGTGAAGAATGTCATTCGTATTTTGATAGAGATAACATTGAATCTGTAGATTGCTTTGGGTAGTACAGACATTTTAACAATATTGATTCTTCCAATCAATGAATATGGAATGTTTTTGGTGTTGTCTTCAAATTTTTTATTAGTGTTTTGTAGTTTTTATTTTAGAGATCTTTCACTTCTTTGGTTAATTCCTAGATATTTAATTTTATATGTGAGTATTGTAAATTGATTTTTTTTATTTCTTTTCCACATTTTTCACTGTTGACATATGCAAATGCTATTGATTTTTGTATAGAAATTTTCTCTTTTGCAGCTTTACCGGATTTGTTGATCAATTCTAATAGTTTTTCTGTGTGGTCTTTAGGTTTTTTCAAATATAAGAGCATATCATCTGCAAACAAGGAAAATTTGAATTCTTTATTTCCAGTTCTGGTGGCCTTTATTTCTTTGTGTTTTCTGATTGCTTTACCTAAGACTTCCAGAAATGTGTTGAATAACAGTGGTGACAGTGAACATCTTTGTTGTGTCCCCTATCTTAGCAGAAAGGCTTTCTGTTTTTCCCCATTCAGTATGATACTAACTGTGGGTCTGTCATATATGGCTTTTATTATGTTGAAGTATGTTCATTCTATTCCAGGGTTCTGGGATTTTTATCATGAAGGGATGTTGAAATTTATCAAATGCTTTTTTAACATCCATTGAAATGATTATATGAATTCTGTCCTTCATTCTCTTGATATGATGTATGGAATTGACAGATTTGCATGTGTTGAACCATCCTTGCATCCCAGGGATAAATCCCACTTGTTCATGATGAGTGATCTTTCCAATGTGTTGTTGAATTTGATTTGCTAGTGTTTTGTTCTGGATTTTTCTATCAATATTCTTCATCAATGTTGGCCTGTAGTTTTTATTTTTTCAGGTGTCTTTGGTTTTCATATCAGGGAATACTGGCCTTGCAGGATGAGTTTGGAAGTATCCCCTTATCCTCTATTTTTAAGAATAGTTTGAATAGATTGGTATTAGTTCTTCTTTAAATGATTGGTTCAATTCAACAGTGCGGCCTTCAGGTCCTTTTTTTTTAAAAACTGGAAAACTTTTTTTTTTTTAAATGAAAAACTTTTTACATAACTTTTTATTTGTTTGTTCAGGTTTTGGAGTTCTTATGGTTCAATCTTGGAAGGTTGTATGTATCTAGGAACTTGTTTATTTCTTCTAGGTTTTCCAATTTATTGGCATATAGTTGCTCACAGTAGCCACTAGTGACTGTTTGAATTTCTGCAGTATCAGTTGTAATGTCTCATTTTCTATTTCTGATTTTATTTATTTGTATCTTCTCTCTTTTATCTTTGTTTTCCTAAAATTTGTCAATTTTGTGTAACTTTTCAGAGAACCAACGTTTATGTCATTGATATTTTGTGGTGTTATTTGTTTCAATTTCATTTATTTCTTCTTTAATATTTATTAATTTTTCTTCTACTAATTTAAGGTTTGGTTTGTTCTTGCTTTTTAAGTTCTTTAAGATGCATCATCAGATTGTTCATTTGAAGTTTTCCCTATTTTTAATGTAGGCACGTATAGCTAGAAACTTCCCTCTGAGTACTGCTTTTGCTGTACTTCACAGATTTTAATATGCTGTATTTCCGTTAACATTTGTATCAAAAAAATTTCAATTTTTTTGAATTCTTCATTGGCCCACTGGTTATTCAGGAGCATATTATTTAATTTCCATGTATTTGTATAGTTTGCAAAATTCCTCCTTTTTGATTTCTAGTTTTATTCCATTGTGGTCAGAGAAGGTGCTTCATATTGTTTAAATTTATTTCAATGTTTTAAGATTTGTTTTGTGATCTAATATATGGTCTATCCTTGAGAGTGATCAATATGCTAAGGAAAGTAATATGCTTTCTGTAGTCATTGGATGAGATGTTCTATAAATATATATTGTATCCATTTGGTCTATAGTGTATATTAATTCTGATGTTTGTTGATTTTTTTGTTTGGAAGACCTATCTAATGCTGAAAGTGTTCTGTTGAGGTCTCCAGCTATTATTGTATTGGGGCCTATTTCTCTTGTTAGCTCAAACCATATCCACTTCATATATCTGGGTACTCTAGTGTTGGGTGCATATTTATTTACTTGTGAATTTATTTTCAGTTATTTATTGTTTTGAGGCAGAGTCTCACTCTGTTGTCCAGGTTGTAGTGCAGTGGTGCAATCTCAGTTCACCACAACCTCTGCTTCCCAGGTTCAAGTGATTCTCATGCCTCAGACTCCTGAGCAGCTGGGATTATGGGTGGGTGACACCATGCCTGGCTAATTTTTGTGTTTTTAGTAGAGACGGGGTTTCATCATGTTGGTCTGGCTGGTGTTGAACTCCTGGACTCAAGGGATCTGCCTGCATCAGCCTTCCCAAAGTGCTGAGATTATAGGCGTGAGCCAATACACCCAGCTTGGGTGTATATTTAAAATTGTTATATCCTCTTGCTGAATTGACCTCGTTATCCTTATGTAGTGACCTTTTTGTCTCTTATGATAGTTTTCATCTTGAATTTTATTTTGTCTGATATAAGTATAGCTACTCCTGCTCTTGTGTTGGTTACCATTAGCATGAAATATCTTTCTATATGTCTTTATTTTTAGTCTACGTGTGTCTTTATAAGTGATGTGTGTTTCTTGTAAGTAACAGATCAATGATTGGGGGGTCTTTTTTTTTTTTCATCCATCAGCCAGTCTATGTCTTTTGATTGGAGTGTTTAGTCCACTTACATTCAATGTTATTATTTATAAGTAAGTACTTACTCCTGCCATATTGTTGTTTGTTATCTGGCTGTTCTATGTTCTTCTCTTCCTTCTTTTTTTATCTTCCTGTCTACCTTTAGTGAAGGTGATTTTCTCTGGTGATATAGTTCCTTACTGTTTGTTTCTATGATTCATTGCATGTTTTATGGTTTGTGGTTACCATGGGGCTTGCAAATACTCATAACTCATTATTTTAACCTGATAACTACTTAACACTCTTTGCATAAACAAACAAACAAGGACAAAGAAAACTAATAAAAATCCTATGCCTTAACTCCATTCCCCTACTTGTTAACTTTTTTTGTGTGTTAATTTATATCTTAATGTACTGTCTATGTCTTGAAAAGTTGGTGTTATTATTTTTGATTGATTGATTGATCTTTTAGTCCTTCTACTTAGTATAAGAGTTAGTTTACACACCACACTTAAAGGGTTATAATATTCTATGGATTTTTGTGTGTGAGTGAACTATTACCAGTGTGTTTTGAACCTTCAGGTGATTATTTATTGCTCATTAACATCTTTTTCTTTCTAAATGAAATACTCTTTTAGTGTTTCTTGTAGGACAAGTTTGGTGTTGATGAAATCCCTTAGGTTTTGTTTGTCCAGGAAAGTCTTTATTTCTCTTTCATGTTTTAAGGACATTTTCACACGGTATACTATTCTGGGATAAAAAATTTTTTCTTCAGCATTTGAAATATATCATGCCACTCTCTCCGGGTCTGTAAAATTTCCACTGAAAAGTCTGCTGTCAGACATATTGGGGCTCCATTGTATGTTATCTGTTTATTTTCTCCTGCTGTTTTGAGGATCCTTTCTTTATTCATGATATTTGAGGTAGTCTTCTTTGGATTAAGTCTGCTTGTACTTAATTTTGTACTTGGATACTGACATTTTTCTCTAGGTTTGGGAAGCTCTCTGTTTTGATCCCTTCGAATAAACATTCTGCCCCTGTATCTTTCTCTACCTCCTCTTTAAGGCCAACAACTATCGAATTTTCCTTTTTGAGGCAGTTTTTCTAGATCCTGAAGATGTGCTTCGTTGTTTGCCTCCTCTGTGTATTTTCAAATAGCCTGTCTTCAAGCTCACTAAGTCTTTCTTTTGCTTGATCAAATCTGCCATTAAATGACTGTGATGCACCCTTCAGTATGGCAATTGCATTTTTTAGCTCCAGAATTTTTGCTTGATTTCTTTTATTTCAATCTTTTTGTTAAATTTATCTGATTGAATTCTGAATCCCTTCTTTGTTTTATCTTTTTTGTTTGTTTGTTTGTTTTTGTTTCCTCTATCTGAAAGCTGAAAGGTGACATGTCTCTTTTTCTCCAGAAATTATTCCTGGTGGCTTACTTATTTCATTTGGTGAGGTCATGTTTTCCTGGATAGAACTGACCCTAGTAGATATTTTTTAATGTTTTGGCATTGAAGAGTTAGGTATTTATTGTAGTCTTCACTGTCTGGGCTTGTTTTTGCCCATCTTTCTTGGGAATTCTTTCCAGATATTTGAAATGACTTGGGTTTTGTAATCTAAGTGGTATCTGCTTTTATGGGCACCCCAAACCCAGTAATGCTGTAGTTCTTTCTTACTGATAGAGGAATACTGCCAGACTACCGCCAATGTTCCCTCAAGGCCCAAGGGCTCTTTAGTCAGGTTGTGTTGTACGCTGCCTGGACTAGGATTCAGTCTTCAGGGAAGTGGGCTCCCTTGTGGCCCAGGGCAGATCCATAGATGTCATCCAAGAGTCAAGTCTTGGAATCTGAGACTCCAAAAGCCTGCTCAATGTTCTAAGACACTGCTGGCCATGTGGGTACCTAAGGGGCAAAGCAAAATTCTCTTTACTTTTTCTGAAGCTGAAGGAGTTTTGTCCCACAGCCACTGCAGCTGGTAATGTGCTGAGTCTCACCTGAAGCCAACAAACTTTAGATGCTCACCTAAGACCCTCAACATAGTACCTGGGTATCACTGCTGGTTATTCAGGGCCCAAGGGCCCTTCAGTTAGCAGGTGATAAATGCTTCCTAGACTGGGTCCTTTCTTTTAAGGCAGTGGGTTTCTTTCTTGCCAGGGTGTGTCTGTCTAGAAATGTCATCCAGGGGCCTGGAATGAATGACTCATGAGTCTGTCCAGTGCCCTACCCTGCTGTGGCTGAGCTTGTATCCAAGATGCCAAACAAAGTCCTCCCACCTCTTTTCTCTCCTCTCCTCAAGCAAAAAGAAGGAGTTTCTTTTGTATCTACAAGTTGTACAGCCTGTGGTTAGGGGAGGAGTGGCACCAACATTTCCCTAGCTGCCCTAGCTGGTATCTCAGTAGATAATGTGCCGCTTCCCCAGTCTATTGTCACTGCACCCATTTCATCACCAGAACTCACCTATAACTTTCAGTTTCTATGGCCTAGACTGCCCTTCAAGTTTATTTAGATCACAGAGCATGTTAGTAGTGTGGTGGCGAGGTTTGTGGGAAGTCAAGTTCAGACCCCTGGGATTAGTGATTGTCCTCTGTCTAGGGCTGCTTTAAATGCTTCCTCCCTGGGTGGGCATCAGCTGAGTTTGGTCTGTGTTTTTTTTTTGGTTTTTTTTTTTTTCTGCTTTAAGAAGACAACACTGAGTTCAATGCCTCACATTTTTTTACTCTCCCTACCCCAGCACACAGAAATGCTCTCCAGCCCATATTGCCACTGCTGTGGGATGGAGGAAGAGTGATGTTGGTGTTTCAAGACTTTTTTTTTTTAATCTCTCTGTGCCTCTTTCAGCAATACAAGGATAGAACCAAGTGTTATGAGGGCTCACCTGACTTTTTTGGTTCTTAAAAGGTATCTTATCTGTGTAGATATTTGTTAAATTTGTGTCCTTGTGGGGGTGGGGGTTGGGCAATCAGCGGAGTCTTTTACTGCACCATCTTGCTTTACCTCTTTCATTACTTTTTTTCTTCTACTAATGTTGGGTTTGCTTTGCTCTGGCTTTTCTATTTTTTAAGATTCATCTATCGTTATTTATTTTATCTGATATTATTATTTTTCAATGTAGGCACTTACAGCTATAAATTTTCCTCTTAGCACTGCTTTTGTTGTATCCCAAAGATTTTGATCTGTTGTATTTCTATTATCATTTTTTTTCAAGAAAACTTTCAGCTTTTTACTCTCTTCATTGACTCACTGGTATTCAGGAGCATATTGTTTAATTTCCATGTGCTGGTAGGGTTTCCAAAATTCCTTTTGTTTATTGTTTGTAGTTTTATTTCATTTTGGTCAAGAAGATACTTGAAATTGTGTCAATTTTTTTTCAATATTGTAAGATTTATTTTATGGTGTGACATGTAGTCTATCTTTGAGAATGATCCATGTACTGAGATGAAGAATGTGTATTCTGCAGCTATTGAAGGTAATTTTCTCTGGTGGTATATTTATTTAATTTCTTGCTTTTTGTATTTTGTGTATCCATTGTATGTTTTTATATTTTAGCTTACCATAAGGGCTACAGATAACATCTTATACCCCATTATTTTCAACTGATGACAACTTAACACTAATTGCATAAAGAAACTAACAAACAGAAAAAAATACAAATAAAACTCAATGCTTTACCTTTGTCATCCCAATTTTTGACTTTTTCTTGTTTCTGTTTACATATCTTATTGTATTATGTCTTGAAAAGTTGTTGTCTTTTTATTGTTTTATCTGTTCATATTTCTACTTAAGATATAAGTGTCTCTAGTGGATGCTACTATTATGGTGTTGTAATACTGTGTGCTTTCTTGTGTACTTGGTATTACCTGTGAGTTTTGTACCTTCATAGGATTTCTTACTGCTCGTTAATCTCCTTTCTTTTTTTTAAGTTTTTTTTTCTTTTATTATTATACTTTAAGTTTTAGGGTACATGTGCACATTGTGCAGGTTAGTTACATATGTATACATGTGCCATGCTGGTGCGCTGCACCCACTAACTTGTCATCTAGCATTAGGTATATCTCCCAGTGCTATCCCTCCCCCCTCCCCCCACCCCACAACAGTCCCCAGAGTGTGATGTTCCCCTTCCTGAGTCCATGTGATCTCATTGTTCAATTCCCACCTATGAGTGAGAATATGCGGTGTTTGGTTTTTTGTTCTTGTGATAGTTTACTGAGAATGATGATTTGCAATTTCATCCATGTCCCTACAAAGGACATGAACTCATCATTTTTTATGGCTGCATAGTATTCCATGGTGTATATGTGCCACATTTCTTTCAGACTGAAAAACTTCTTTAGCATTTTCTGTAGGACAGGTCTGGTGTTGATGAAATCCATCAGCTTTTGTTTTCTTGGGATGGTCTTTATTTGTCCTTCATGACTGAAGGATATTTTCACTGGATATACCATTCTATGTAAAGGTTTTTTTTTTTCTTTTTCTTCAGCACTTTAAATATGTCATGCCTCTCTCTCTCTCTAGGACTGTAAGGTTTCCACAGAGGAGTCTGCTGTAGATATGTTGGATCTCCCTAGTATGTTTTTTCTTTTCTGTTGCCGCTTTTCAGATTCTTTCTTTATCTTTGACCTTGGAGAGTTTGATTAATACATACATTGATTAAATCTTTGGATTAAATCTTCGTGTTCTATAACTTTCTTTACTTGAATGTTATCTTTCTACCTATTTGGGAAGTTCTCTAACATTACCACTTTAAATAAACTTTCTACCTGATCTCTCTCTCTACCTCCTGTTTAAGACCGATGACTCTTAGGTTTTGTTTTTCAGGCTATTTTATAGATTGTCTAGGCATGCTTTACTCTTCTTTACTTTTATTTTTTTGTTTTCTCTTACTGTGTATTTTCAAATAGCTTGTCTTCAAGCTCACCGGTTTCTTCTTCTGCTTAACTAATTTTGCTATTAAGAGACTGATGCATTCTTCAGTATGACAATTGCATTATTTAACTCTAGAATATGTGCTTAATTTATTAATTTATTTTAATCTCTGTGTTAAATTTATCTCATAGCATTCTTAGTTTCTTCTCTCTGCTATCTTGAATTTCTTTGAGTTTTGTTAATATGGCTATTTTGAATTCCCTGTCTAAAATGTCACATATCTCTCTGTCTCTCCAGCATTGGCCACTGGTGCCTTATTTAATGTGTTCTGTGAGACAATGTTTTCCTGGATTGTCTTGATGTTTGTGGATGTTTTTCAATGTCTCAGCATCTGATATTTGGATATTTATTGTAGTCTTCAAAGTGTCGGCTTTGTTCCTGTCCTTTTTGCAAAGACTTTCCAGGTATTCAAAGGACTGGAGTGTGGTAACCTAAGTTTTTTGTCACTGCAGCTGTATTTATGCAAGTGGGAACCCCAAGCGTAGTAATGCTGTAGTCCTTACAGACTTGTAGAGGTACTGCCTTTGTGGTCTTGGATAAGATATGGAAAAATTATCTGACTTACAGACTGGGACTCTTGTTCTCTTACTTTCTCCCAACCAACCAGTTTTTCTGTCTGTTCTTAGTTGTCTGGATATAAGAGAGGTATGGCAGAAACACCTCTGTGGCCACCACCACTGGAACTGCTCTGGGTCAGGGCAGAAGCCAGCACAGCACTGGGTTTATTCCCAAGCCTGCTGTAACCACTACCTGGTTGCCACTCATGTTTATTTAAGGCCCCAGGGCTCTATAATCAGCAGGTAGTAGAGCAGGCTAGTCCTGTGTTTTTACCTTTAGGGCGATGACTTCCAGAAGGCCCTGAGTGGATCTAGAGATGCTGTCCAGGAGCCAGGGCCTAGACTTGGAAACCTGAGAAATCTACCTGGTGCTCTACTCTACTGCAGCTAAGTTGGTGCCAAAACCACAAGACAGAATACTTTCCACTCTTCCACTTCCCTCAGGCAGAGGCGTCTCCGTGTGTCCACAACCATCAGAAGACACCCTGAGGAGTACTGCCAGGGTACTGTCAGTGTTCACTTAAGGCCCAGTGGTTCTTAAGTTAGCTTGCAGTAAATGCTGTCTGTCCTGGGGCTCACACTTCAAGGCAGTAGGCTCGCCTCCAGCCCAGAGTTGGTCTATAAATGCCATCTCAAAGCCAAGGTTTGGAATTGGGAACCTGAGAACCCTACCTGGTTTTCTACTCCACTATGGCCAAACTGATACCTAACCTGCAAGACAAAGTCCCCTTTACTCTTTTATCTGCTTTTCTCACTCATAAGGAGTCTTTCCTCATAGCCATCCTGTCTATAGTGTGCTGGGTCCACCTGAAGCTGGCATCTCTTGAAGTCTCCCCAAGGTTGATGGCATGTACTACCTGGTTACTAGTGCTGATTATTCAAGACCCAAGCACTCTTTAGTCAGCAGGTGATAAATCCTGCTAGGACTGGATTTTTTCCTTCAAGGCAGTGGGTTTTCTGCTGGCCCAGGGTTCATCTGGAAATGTCACCCAAGAGCCAGGGCAGGGATTGTTGGACTTATGACTCTGCCAGTGCTCTATACTACTGTGGCTGAGCTGGTATCCAAATTATAAGACACAATAGTCCTCTTTACTCTTCTGTTTCTTCTTACATGGAAGAAAGGGGTCTCTTCAGAGCTGTGAGCTGTTCTGCCTGGGGTTGGATGGTAAGGGGTGATCCAAGCGCTCCCTTAGCCTCCCTGGCTGATGTCCCACTAGGTTACATGCCCCTGAAGTCCACTGGCTCTGTACCCAGATCAGCACTAGAAATTGCCTGGTTGTTCCAATTACTGTGGCCTGGACAGCCTTTCATGTTTATTTAAGACTCAAGACCACTTTAGTCAGTAGTGGCAAGACTTGCTGAAACCCAAGTTCTGACTGCTGTGATGGGTGATTTTCCTCTGGCTAGAGTTGATCTGAATGCTCCCTCCATGGGCACCGGCTGAGTCCTGCCTGGTGTTGGCAGCACTAGTTTCAATACAAAGTCTCCTATCACTGCATTCTCTCTCTTACAAATGCACAGGTTCTCACTCTGCACCACAGGGGAGAAATGACATTGCCAATCTAAGGCTGTCTTTCTGACCCTTTTCAGTGCATCTTTAGGTAATATTAAGTTAAAACCAGATACTGTGGTCACTCACCTGATTTTTGGTTCTTGTGAATGTGCTTTTTGTGTAGATAATGGACAAATTTGGTGTTTCTGTGGAAAGGATGATTAGAGGAGGCTTCCATTCAGCCATTTTGCCCTGGCTCCCCTTCCCCATTTTTAATTGGCTTAGTCATTTACTTATTGTTAGTTTTAGGTCTTGTGTATTTTGGATAAGAGCTCCTTATGAGAAATATTTTTATAAATATTTTATATGAGACTGTGACTTTTCCTCTTGTTCTATTCACATTAACTTTCACAAAGCAAAAGTTTTTAATTAAAAAAGATGTCCAGTTTATCATTTTTTTATCATGGGTCACACATTTGGAGTTGTAGCTAAAAACTTACTACTATACCCAAGGTCATCTAAATTTTCTCCTTTTATTTTTTAGGACTTTTATAGTTTTGCATTATACATTCAAGTCTGTGATCTATTTTTTGTTCATTTTTGTGAAAAGTGTAAAATCTATGTCTACATTAAATTTTTGCACGTGAATTTCCAGTTTCTTCAGCACCATTTGTTAAAGACTATTTTCCTCCATTGTATAACTTTAGCTCCTTAGAGCCTTTGTCAAGTTTCAATTGATGTTATTTATCCGGGTCTGTTTGTAGGTTCTTATTCTCTTCCACTGATCTATTCATCTACTGTTTTGTCAATACCACATAGTCCTGATTACTGAGATTTGTAATAAGTTTTGAAATCAGTACTGTCAATCCTGTGACTATTCTCCTTCAGCATTGTGTTGGATATTCTGGGTCTTTTGTTTCTCCTTATAAACCTTAAAATCAGATTGTTAACATTCACAAAATAACTTGCTGTGATGCTGATATGAATTTCTTGAATCTATAGATCAAGTTGAGAAGAATTGGCAATGAAATGTATCCCAATTTATTTAGTTTATTTTTAATTTCTTTCATCAGAGTTTTGTTGTTTTCCTCATCTAGATATTGCACATATTTTGTTAGATTTATACATATCTCATTTTAGGGGCAGTAATGTAAATGACATTGTGTTTTAAATTTCAAATTCTACTTGTTTATTGCTGGTATATTGAAAAGCAATTGACTTTTGTATATTAACCTGTGTTCCGTGACTTTACAATAATTACTTATTAGTTCCAGCTGTTTACCGTCTATTCATCTACATTTTCTACACATACAAGTATGCCATCTGCAAACAAAGACAGTTTGATTTCTTTATTCCCAATTTTTATGCCTTTTATTTCATTTTTTGCCTTATTGCATTAACTAGGACTTCGAGTATAATGTTGAAAAATAGCAGTAAGAGAGGACATGATCTTAGTAAGAAAGCTTTAAGTTTCTCACCAGTAAGTATAATGTTAGATGTAGGGTTTTTTGGACATATTATTTATTGAGTTGGGTACATTTCCCTCCATTTTTAGTTTTCTGAACATTTTTATTATGAATAGTGTAGGATTTTTTTCAAGTGCTTTTGCTGCAACTATTGATTTAATCATGTAAGTTTTCTACTTTAGCCTTGACATGATAAATTACATTAATTGATCTTTAAATGTTGAGCCAGTCTTGCATACCCGGGATAAATTCCTATTGGTTGTTGTGTATAATTGTTATTCTATATAGTTAAATTCAGTTTGCTACATTTTATTGAGAATATTTGCATCTATGTTTATTAGAAACATTGCTCTGGAGCTGTCTTTTCCTGTAATGGATTTGTCTGATTTTGGTGTTGGGGTAGTGCTGACCTCATAGAATAAAAATGCATTTCATCTGCTTCTGGACTGGTGTTTCTGTTTTGAAAAAATATTAATTATTTATTCAAATTTTTAATAGATATATGCCCATGCAAATTGTCTATTTCTTCTTGTGTGAGTTTTGTCAGACTGACTTTCAAGAAATCTGTCCATTTCTTGTGTATTGTCAAATTTGTTGGCATGAAGTTGTTCACAGTATTTGTTATCTTTCTCTTGTCCATAAATTATAAAGTTTTGTTTCCTTTTTTATTTGACATATTGGTGATTTATGTTCTCTTTCTTTTCTTCTTAGCTTGTGAAGAAGCCCATTGATTTTATTAATCCTTAAAAAACACTGCTTTGAGCTTCATTGATTCTCTCTATTAGCTTCCTGTTTGGCTCTAATGTTTATTATTTCTACTGCTTATTTTTTATTTTATTTTCTATTTTTTCTAGTATCCTGAGATGAAAGATTTGATTATTTCTTTTATATATGTCTTCTTTTCTAATATATGCATTTTTTATTTTAATACATTGTTTTACCATTTGAAAAAAAATACAAAAAAAATGAAAGCAGCATTGTTTAGAGGAACTGTCACCACAATCTTTAATACACTATTATTTTCCTTGAAATTATGCTTTTAAAAATGTATATGTTTGTTTATTGTTTTCTTCTTCTACAATACAAATTGGGCTGTTTCTTTTTCTCCATCTTTTAATGTTAGCTTTGGGAGTAAATGTGAAGATTCATTACATAGGTAAACATCTGTCATGGGGGTTTGTTGAGCAGATTACTCCATCAACCAGGTATTAAACCCAGCACTCAAGAGTTATATTTTCTGCTCCTGTCCCTCCCCACAACATCCACCCTCAAGTAGATTCTAGTGTCTGTTGCTTCCTTCTTTGTGTTTATAAATTCTCACCATTTAGCTCCCACTTATAAGTGAGAACATGTGGTATGTGGTTTTCTGTTTCTGCATTAGTTTAGTATGAATAATAGCCTCCAGCTCCATCCATCTTCTTGAAAAAGACATGATCTCACTTTTTTAATGGCTGCATAGCATTCTATGGTGTGTATGTACCACATTTTCTTTATCCAATCTGTCATTAATGGGCATTTAGGGTGATTCCATGTTTTGCTACTGTGAATAGTGTTGCAATGAACATTCACATGCATGTGTCTTCATGGTAAAATGATTTATAATCCTCTGAGTATATACCACCACTTAACTCAGTAATGGAGTTGCTGAGGTAAATGGTAGTTCTGCTTTTAGCTCTTTGAGGAACCATCATACTGCTTTCCACAATAGTTGAACTAATTTATACTCCCACCAACAGTGCATAGGGGTTCCCTTTTCTCCACAACCTCACCAGCATCTGTTGTTTTTTGGCTTTTTAATAATAGCCATTCTTAATGGTATGAGATGTTATCCAATTGAAGTTTTGATTTGCATTTCTCTAATGATAAGTGATATTGAGATTTTATTCATATGCTTCTTGGCTACATGTATGTCTTTTTGTGAGAAGTATCTGTTATGTCCTGTGCCCACTTTTTAGTGAAGTTGTTTGTTTTTCTCTTGTAAATTTGTTTAAGTTCCTTATATATGCTGGATACTAGACCTTTGTCAGATGCATAGTTTGCAAATATTTTCTCCCAGTCTGTAGGTTGTCTTTTTATTCTGTTGATAGTTTCTTTTCCTGTGCAGAAGCTCTTTAGTTTAATTATATCTCATTTGTCAATTTTTGCTTTTGTTGTGATTGCTTTTGGTGTCTGCGTCATGAAATATTTGATCATTTCTATGGCCAAGATGGTATTGTCTAGGTCGTCTTCCAAGGTTTTTATAGGTTTGGGTTTCACATTTAAGTCTTTAATCCTTCTCAAGTTGATTTTTTGTATGGTGTAAGTAAGGGGTCCAGCTTTAATCTTCTGCGTATGGCTAGCCAGTTATCTCAGCTGGGAATAAGAAGTCTTTTCCCCATTGATTGTTTGGGTTAGCTTTGTCAAAAATCAGATGGCTGTAGATGTGTGGCCTTATTTCTGGGTTCTCTATTATGTTGCTTTGGTCTATGTGCACATTTTTCTACCAGCATCTTGCTTTTTTGGTTGCTGTAGCCCTGTAGAATAGTTTGAAGTTTGGTAACGATGCCTCCAGCTTTGTTCTTTATGTATAAGATTGCCTTGGCTATTTGTTTTTTTTTTTAATCTGATATACATTTTAAAATAGTTTTATTCTAGTTCTGTGAAGAATGCCACTGGTAGTTTGATAGGAATGCATTGAATCTTTAAATTTTGTTGGGCACTATGGCCATTTTAATGATATATTTTTTTTCTATCCATGATCATGAGATGATTTTCCATTCATTTCTGTTGTCTCTGATTTTCTTAGCAGTGCTTTATAATTCTCATCATAGAGATCCTTTGCTTCCTGGGTTAGCCATATTTCTAGGTATTTTATTCTTTGGGGTGCAGTTATCAATGGGATTGCCTTCCTAATTTGTCTTTGACTTGCCTGTTTTTGGTTTATAGAAGTGCCAGTAATATTTGTACATTGATTTTGTATCTTGAAACTTTGCTGGAGTTGTCAGCTGAAGGAGCTTTTGGGCTGAGACTGGGGTTTTCTAAATATAGAATAATGTCCTCTGCAAGCAGAGATAGTTTGACTTCCTCTCTCCCTATTTGGATGCTCTTTATTTCTTTCTCTTGCCTGATTGTACAGGCCAGGACTTTCAATACTATGAGGAATAAAAGTGGTGAGAGAGAACATTCTTGTCTTGTGCCAGTTTTCAAGGAAAATGCTTCCAGCTATTGCTCATTAAAAATGTGTTAGCTTTGGGTTTTCTATAGATGGCTTTTATTATTTTGAGGTATGTTTCTTTAATACCTATTTTTAGAGGTTTTTTTTTACATAAAGGTGTGTTGAATTTTATCAAAAGTCTTTTCCACATCTACTGAGATAAGAATGTGGTTTTAGTTTTTATTTCTGTCTATGCAATGAATCACATTTATTGATTTGCACATGTTGAACCAACCTTGCATCTCAAGGATGAAGCCAGTTGATTGTGATGAATCAGCTTTTTGATGTGCTGCTGGATTCAGTTTGCTGGGGTTTTTTTTTAGTATTTTTGCATTAATGTTTATCAAAAATATTGGCTTGAACTTTTCTTATTTTGTTATGTCTTTGACAGGTTTTTTTATCAAGATGATGCTGTCTTCTTAGAATAAATTTAGGAAGAGCTCCTCCTCTTCAATTTCTTGGAATATTTTCTGTAATATTTGACTGTGAATTCATCAGGTCCTGGGCTTTTTTTGGTGGATAGGCTACTTATTACTGATTCAAGTTTGGAGCTCATTATTGGTCTGTTCAAGGAATAAATTTCTTCCCGGCCCTGCCTTGGAAGGGTGTGTTTCAGGAATTTATTCATTTATTCTAGGTTTTTCAGATTGTGTGTGTGTATAGAGGTGTTTGTAGTAGTTTATGATGGTTGTTTTTGTTTCTGTGCAGTCAGTGGTAACATTCCCTTTGTCATTTCTAATTGTGTTTATTTGGATCTACTCTCTTTTCTTATATATTAGTCTAGCTAGTGGCCTATCTATTTTATTATTTTTTTCAATAACCAATTGTTGGACTTGTTTATCTTTTGAGTGCTTTCTTGAGTCTTCATTTCATTTAGTTCAGCTCTAATTTTTTTTTTTTTTTTTTTTTTATCTTCTGCTAGCTTTGGGGTTGATTTGTTCTTGCTTTTCTAATTCTACCAGTTTTAAAGTTAAGTTCTTAATTTAAGCTCATTTTTACTTTTGCTGAGGGTATTTAGTGCTATGAATTTCCCTCTTAACACTGCCTTTGCTGTGTCTCAGAGACTCTTGTATGTTGTATGTTTGCTCTCATTATTTTCAAACAACTTTTTTATTTCTGCCTTAGTTTTATTATTTACCCAAAAGACATTCAGGAGCGTGTTGTTTAATTTCCATATAATTGCATGGTTTTGAGCGATTTTCATTGTTTTGACTTTTATTTTTGTTGTGCTGTGGTCTGAGAGTGTGTTTGGTATGATTTGTGTTCTTTTAGATTGTTTTATGTTCAATTATGTGGTCAATTTTTGAGTATGTGTCATGGAGCAATGAGAAGAATGTATATTCTGTTGTTTTTTGGGTAGAGAGTTCTGTAAAGATCTATCAGATCCATTTGGTTCAATGTTGAGTTTAGGTCCTGAATATCTTTGTTAATTTTCTGCCTTGATGATCTGTCTAATACTGTCAGTGGAGTGTTGAAATCTCCCACTATTATTGGGGAGTCTATGTCTCTTTGTAGAGATCTAAAAACTTGGTTTATAAATCTTGGTGCTCTTGTGTTGGGTGCATACATATTTAGAATAGTTAAGTCTTGTTGAATTGAGACCTTTACCATTATGTAACACCCTTCTTTCGTTTTTTTTTTTTTTTTTGAGACGGAGTCTCGCTCTGTCGCCCAGGCTGGAGTGCAGTGGCGGGATCTCGGCTCACTGCAAGCTCCGCCTCCCGGGTTCACGCCATTCTCCTGCCTCAGCCTCCCAAGTAGCTGGGACTACAGGCGCCCGCCACTACGCCCGGCTAATTTTTTTGTATTTTTAGTAGAGACGGGGTTTCACCGTTTTAGCCGGGATGGCCTCGATCTCCTGACCTCGTGATCCGCCCGCCTCGGCCTCCCAAAGTGCTGGGATTACAGGCGTGAGCCACCGCGCCCGGCCTTTTTTTTTTATCTTTGTTGGTTTGAAGTCGGTTTTGTCTGAATTTGGGACTGCAACCCTCCTTATTTTCTGTTTTCTATTTGCTTAGTAGATTTTCCTGCATCCCTTTATTTTGAGCCTGTGGGTGTCATTATTTGTGAGATGGGTCTCTTGAAGACAGCATACCATTGGGTCTTACTTTTTAAATCCAGTTTGTCTATCTGTGTCTTTTAATTGGGGTGTTTAGCCCATTTACATTCAATGTTAGTATTGATATGTGTGGATTTGATCCTTTCATTGTGCTTTTAGCAGGTTATTACGTTGGCTTGCTTGTGTGGTTGCTCTATAGTAAAACTGATCTGTGGGTTGCAGTGTATTTTTGTATTATCTGGTAGTGGTCCTTCCTTTCCATATTTAGTGCTCCTTTCAAGATCTCTCGTAAGGCATGCCTGATGATAACAAATTCCCTCAACATTTGCTTAACCAAAAAGAATTTTATTTCTCATTTACTCAGAAAGCTTAGTTTAGCTAAATATAAAATTATTGATTGAAGATTTTTTTTCTCTTTAAGAATGTTGAATATTGGCTCCCAATCTCTTCTGGTTTGTAAGGTTTCAGCTGAGATGTCCACTGTTAGCCTGATGGAGTTCCCTTTTGTAGGTGACCTGCATTTTTTATCTAGATGGCTTTAATATTTTTTCTTTCATTTCAACCTTGAAAAATTCTGATTATTATGTGTCTTCATGATGATCTCCTTGTGTAAAATCTTTCAGGAGTTCTATGCTTTTCCTGGATTTGAGAGTTGACCTCTCTAACAAGGTTGGGGAATTTTTATTGATGATATCCTAAAATATGTTTCCCAAGTTGTTTGCTTTCTATTCCTCTCCTTCAGGGATGCCAATGATTTGTAGATTTGGCCTCTTTATATAATCTCATGTTTCTCAGATATTTCGTGCATTCTTTTTCTACTTTTTAAAACTTTTGTCTGACTTTCTTATTTCAGAGAAGCAGTCTTCAAATTCCAAGATTCTTTGCTCAGCTTGGTTTATTCTGCAGTTAATACTTGTGGTTAAATTGTGACATTATTGTATTATTCAACTCTGTTAGACCCACTAGTTTCTTTTTTGTACTGGTTGTTTCATCCTGTATTGCTTTATTGTAATTCTTAGTTTCTTTAGTTTGGGTTTTGCTATCTTTCTGAATCTCAATATTCTTCATCCTATCCATATTCTATTATTTTTATTTTTATTTTTTTGAAACAAAGTCTCACTCTGGCACCGAGGCTGAAGTGTAGTAGCATGATCTTGGTTCACTGAAACCTCTGCCTTCTAGGCTTAAGCAATTATCCAGCCTCAGCCTCCCAAGTAGCTGGGACTGCAGGCAGAAGTCACCATCCTGTCAAATTTTTGTATTTTTTTTTTGTAGAGTTAGGTTTTTACCATGTTGTCCAAGCGGTCTCGAACTGCTGAGCTCAAAGTAATTTGCCTGCCTCAGCCTCCCAAAGTGCTGGAATTACAGGTATGAGCCATCACACCCAGCTCCCTATCCATATTCTGAAATATATTTCTGTCATTTTAGCCAGCTCAGCCTGGTGAAAAACTCTTATTGGAGAACATTGCAGAACATTGCTGTTTGGAGGTGTCAGTTGAGAAAAATAATGAAACAAGTCTCAATCATTTTAGGAGGTTTATTTGCCAAAGTTAAGCAGGTGCACCCAGGAGACAGGTCTATGCCTTTCTCCAAAGATGATTTTGAGGGCTCCAAACTTAAAGGAGAAAGGGTGGGATATTGAGAAGTACACAATTTTTATGTAAGAGAAGGGTAAAGAAAAATATTCATGACTTTGTCTGTCTCAGTGAATCTGAATTTTTTTTTACATAAGGTGACAGACAAATGGGGTAGAGGAAAAATGCAGGGAATCTGCATTTTACATAAGATAACATAGACAAAATGGGGCAGGGGAAACAAACAGATATGCATTTGTGTCTGGTGGGCCAAAGGTGACTGCACCTGTAAAGATAAGCTATCAATTTATATTACCATAGTGAAATTTTAACAGAAGCACCTTAAAAGATCTTGAAGCTCACTAGGAATTTCAATGTGGGCAAAATATGGAGGAGGCATGTGGCTTTTCATCTTGTAGCAATCTTACTTAGGAACCAAAAGGGGAAGGCAGGTTTGTGTGACCCAGTTTCCAGCTTGACTTTTTCCCTTGGCTAAGTGAGTTTGCAGTCCCAAAATTCAATTTTTTTCACATTACCCTCTTTGAAGAAAACATTTTTGACAAAATATTTTAAAAGGAATATGGGTTCCTGGTCTCAAGTTGCTTTCTTCTCCTTATTTGGGCTGGTTTCTCATTGCTAGGATAGTTCATTCCTAGAAGTTCAGTTTCTGTGTTGCAAAGAAGACTCATTCCTAGGAGGTCTTGTCCCACATTGCTAGGAACGCTCATTCCTAGGAAGTCATGTTGCGTGAAGATAAAAAAATAGAGGGAGAAAGGAAGAAAAAATGAAAGAAAAGAGAAGAAAAATATGTATATAGAGAATTGGGGCAGATTTATAGCAACAAAAGGAAAGCAAACCTGGAAGTTGAGTCAGTCTGTATTGCTGCCTCCTCAATTAGAGCAATTCTGTGGGCAATCATTACCCTAGCCCTTTCTGTTGTATGTTGACTTATTAGCAAGCACATACCATAACAACATTGTAAGCAGAAACAGGACTGAACACAAATTATTATTATTCCTATTATAAGCAATAGCTTCTGCCGCCAAATTCCCCAGGATTCAAACCAACCACTCAACCAATCGATAAGTGAGGGTTGGGGTCTGACATATGATGTAAGTTTTCATATCAGTCATAAGTCAGATTATGCTCTTCAATTCATCTGGAATATACACACAATATTTTGTTTTTGTGATGGTGCAGGTCCCCTCTTGTGCTGCCATGAATATATCTAAAGCCATACAGTTTTGCAGCACAGCTTTCTGCATAAGCATGACCTCATTGTTCAGCAAGAAGATACTCATATGGCTATCATTCATTCAGGGCCTTTTAGGTGTAATTCATTAAGGCCTCTACATGCCATATAACATCTTTAATACCTATCCTTGGCACAAAGATTGGAGCTAAGTGACTATACCATTGAAATACCGAATGTGTCCAATGAGATTGTAAATAGAAAAGGTTTGCTGGTTTTGGCAGGGTCTGAATTACTCATCTTTGTGCCCAGCATAACCTAGGGAACATCATCCTAATCACCCTGGGGGTAGCCATGGCCATAAGTTGGTGCCACATAGCCAACATGTCCCCTTTGGAGCTAGCAAATAAATACCTGGTCGTTGCACCCAATCAGTGGCATGCCAGTTGATGTCTTGTGATATGACAATGTGGTCACAGAATTCTCCAGGCAGCCACCCTATATCTCTCATACTGTTTGGCCATAGGTCCTTGGTGTGATTTCTTTGCTCCCAGCACAAAGGGGCATTTTGGCTGAGTTGGCCAAATGAAGGGGTGAGCCAAATAAATTTGCCCCAAATTTGCATTATTTCATTTTGAAAATGAGTAATTGTTTTGGGTGCAATTACTACCTTCTGTTTTAGTTGGGGGAATGCTAAAGTGAGAGCTAATGAGTGGGTCTTTTCCATTGAAAATTTTTTCCCATGTCCCTTGTTCTTAAAAGTGTTTTTAATGGGGCAATTATAAATATTTTATTTTGTTATGCCAGCATTAAGAATATCAGATCATATCTGTAACATAATACATTTTTGGTATTCTATCCAGTCCTGACCTTGGAAGGGGAATACCCACCATGATAGCCCCGAGCCACTGGAAAGAGGGATGAGTCTGCATATCCAGCAGGTGTCCTTTTGTAATCTGTCTGTGTAATCCTGAACCCATTGTAGAAATAGGTTTCATGAGCATCAGTAGGTGGCATGGCAAGAAGGTGTAGGGATATAGGATGAATAATAACAAGGTTATGAAATTCATTTTAGCTATTAAAGTTTTGTTAAATCAGACAAAGCAAGTGCCCTGTTCTATAAGACAGCAGTTGCCAGTATCTCTAGGACAATAATTGTAATGGTTATTGTACAATAAACAAAGGCATTCCTTTTTATACAGGTCTGGTCCTATGGCTTGGGTTTAAGCTGTCCACAATAGCTGTTGTCTGCTTCTAATCCCGGGTTGAAGGTTGATGTTTAATGAACTGGAGGTGAGGGTCTTTGTTGGGAGTTACAGTGCACTTAGGAGGTTGTGCCTTTTTAAGATGAGAGATGTGAATCCATGAGTCTATACCCTCTAATTTTGCGGCAAATTGATTAGTCATTAGTAGCCGGTGTGGGCCCTTCTATTGGGGTTGGAGGGAATCCTTTATTAGATGTCTCTTCCAATAAACAAAATCTCCAGGTTGCAGATCATGCCCAGGCACCTTATCTTCAGGGAGCACACTGAGAAAAATTATTTACCAAATCTTGGCCTTTTCTAAGATGATAAATGAGTCCTTTACAATACTGCAATATGTTTCCCTTGAGATAATTTGAATTGCTAATTTTCGTTGTCATACACATGGGCTTTCCTGTTATAATTTCATAAGGGGACAGGTGATGTTTTCCAAAAGGGGTGGATCAGAGTGTAAGTAGCACTAGGGCAAGTGCTTTAGGCCAGGGAAAGTGAAATGTCTCTGTGAACTTAGCCAATTGTGTTTTAATTATTCCATTGGTCCTCTCCACCAAGCCTGAAGACTAGGGATTGTAGTCACAATGAAAATGTTAAAATATGAGCCAAATTTTACAAATATTTTGAATAAACTGACCAGTAATGTGAGTTCCCTGTCACTGTGAAGTTCACAAGGTACTCCCCACAATGGAATAATTGTTTCCAGTAGGATGTTTCCAACTGCCATAGCTGTTGCTTGCCTGCAGGGAAAGCTTCAACCCAATGGGAAAACATGCAGACTTTTATTAAAACATATTGTAACACTGAGATTATGGCAGCTGGATAAAATCAAGCTGCCATATCTCAAAAGGTCTAGCCAGAAGGGGAAAATGACCCTGGGCCCCATGGAGGAGCTTTCTTGGTTTATATTCGGGACAAATAACACATTGAATGTGAACTTCTGTGCCACTGTAAAGGATGGTTTCCAGTAATATTGTTTACACCAGGGTGTCATTTCATCTGGATTCCAATGGGTTAGATCATGAACATATTCCATAAGGGGCACCTAACATCCCATTGGACTAATGGGTTTATTATTCGGCCTACACCATACTTCAGTTTTGGGAGACAATTATCCCCCTGCCTATTTCCAAGTAGATTTCTCTTTTGTAGGAGCTATGCTCTGGGTTTCTTTCAACATGTTTTTAAGTGTTTTGGGTTTTATGACCATTTCCCAGATTGGAGCTCATGGCTCAAATGCTGCTCTTTTAGCTGTGGCATCAGCCAATTTGTTATCCTGACTTCCTGTGGTGTCTAATTTTGAGTGATTTGGGATTTTTATAATTGCCAAATGTTTTGGTTTTAGAAGAGCTTCTGACAGCTCTGATACTTGTCCATTTTTACGGGCTGCCCTGAGGAGGTTAAGTATCCTCTCTCCTTCCATAGCATCCCAAAGTCATGGGCACCCTAAAAGCATGACAGCTGTTAGTGTATAAGTTTGCAACTTTGTATTTTGCCAGTTGACAAGCTTGGGTCATGGCAATCAATTCAGCCGCTTGAGCTGATCTGGCTTGGGGAAGAGAACTGGCTTCAATTACCTCTAGTAAGGACACCACAGCATATACTGCTCTAAAATTTCCATCTTCTCCTTTTAAATAAGACCAATCTGTATACCATTCAATTTCAGCATTATCCAGTGGTATCTCTTGTAGGACTGTCCTGGGGGTAAGAAGTCAGTCAGTCATCAGGACACAATCATGAATGGATTTGTCAAAGGGCCCAGCAAGAGAGTGGCTGGATTAAGATTATTACAGTGGGAAATAGTGATATTGGCAGATGATAAAAACAAAATTTTATAAGAGGCCTGCCAGTTGACAGACAGATGTTGACTATGACGAGAGTTTAGAAGAGTCTCAAGAGAATGTGGCACAAAATGGTAAGGGGGAACCCATAATTATTTCTTCAACAGACTTGTACTAAAGAGCCATGACTGCTATTTCTCTCACACAAGGAAGCAACCCTCGAGATGCAGCCCTGAAGTCCAGCTGTTGACTATAATAGCCTATAGGTCTCTGATGATCACCATGTTTCTGGGTCAGTACCCCTGATGCAGTATCTCCAACTTTGTGTACAAAAATGGAGAAAGACAATTTGTAGTTTGGGTGACCTAAGGATGGGCCATTAGTTAGAATTTCCTTTATTTGTTGTACAGCTGATTGTCCTTCTGGAGTCCACATGATGGGATCAGATTGCATGTTTTTTAGGTATGCATACAGAGGTTAAGCCATAAGGGAGAAATTTCATATCCAGTTTCTACAGTAGACTGCCAGGCCCAAAAATGCTCTAACTTGTTTCTTGGTGACAATCAGTGAAAAAGCTAAAATTCCTCTCACTTTGTCCAGGTTAATACTCAGTCCTTTGACCAAGATAATATGCCCCAAATACTTAACTTGCTGTAACTATAGCTGAAGTTTGTCTTTGGACACTTTGTGTCCCTTGGTGGCCATTTGAGTAAATATAGACTATCTTCCTGAGAGCAAGAGATTGTGTTTGAACAAAGGAGAAGGTCATCTACATACTGGATGAGTGTTGAGCTCTTGGGAAAATTTAAATCCTTTAAATTAGCTTTTAATATTTGGGAGAAGTAACTGGAACTTACTGTATACGCTTGGGGCATTATAGTCCACATATGTTGCCATTCTTTCCAAGTAAATGGAAACAAATATTGGCTGTCCGGATCTACAGGAATACTAAAGGAGGCACTGCAGAGATCCACAACTGAGAAATACTGGCTGGTAATGAGTATAGCTGATAGAAATATATATGGTTTGGGGACTACTGGGTGTCTGGGTACTATGATATTGTTCTTTGTCCTCAAGTCCTGCACAAATCTCCATCGTCTCCCACTTGGGAAGGGAATATAGGGCTGCTGCAGGCGTGTGTGCAGGAAAAATTGAGTCCCTTTTTCAGAAAATCTTATATGATAGGGGCAATTCCATTTATGGCTGCCTGTTGTAGAGGATATTGTTCAAGGTTGGGTAGGGGTTTCCTTGGGTTTATCTCTACCTTAATTGGAGTGGCTGAGAATATTTTCCCTATATCTGTATTTGACTGAGACTATAAGTGGGAGTGGACATCCTTGAGCAAGTGCTCTGCTTCTGGGGTTTACAGGAAGATTGAGGACGCTAAAAAGAGTTTTACTCTTTTCTGCTCTTTATTCCAATGTTCTCTCTTCTCTCTTAATATTTCCTTCTCTGTTTCTGTTTCATTTTCCTGGTCACAAGATGACATTTTAACATTACTAGCACTAAATCGTGGTACATTGTCAGGATGTTTTTTTAATTTGGTATTTTTGCTCCTCTGGCTCTAATTCTAAAAAATGTTTACCTTTTGATGAAAAAGAGATATGGGCATTATGGATGCTGAGGAGATCACGGCCCAAAAGATTAACAGGGGCCCCAGAGCATATTAGAAACATATGGGACTGACTGAGCCTGTCATATTTAGAGCCTGCAGTGGAGGAACTTAACCTGACAAATGGTAAGGTACAAGTTTGGACTTAAAACACAAGATGGTTTTATTAGACACACCCACCATGTTAATTCTTTCATCACGTCAAGGATTGGGGTTTATAAATAAGGCAAAATTTATCAGAGATATTGTTGCACCTGTGTCAATTAAGGCAGTTGTAAGCTTATGGTTTATTACTAATCTCTCCCAATTTGTTTGTCAGGATACAATATTTGGAGAGGTGAAACCCTGTACTTCCTCGAAGAATTCCTAGTCTTCCTGAGTTGCATTCTCCTGCCTTTTTTGGTTTGTTTGTTTCAGCCTAAGACAATTCCTCTTAAGGTGTCCCAGTCTTTTACAGTAGTAACAGACTGGGAGGGAGGAGTCCTCAAACCGAGGGAGCTTAAAATATTTCTGTGGCTGAGAGGTTTGAGAAGTTACTTACTTTAGCTGTAAGTGCATAACTTGGGCAATCTTCTGTTTTTCCTTTTTATCATAGTGCAGGATAATTGGTAAGCTATGTAAACTTGTTCATTAGTTCTGGCCTTGGCCCAATTTGTCATGTGACATTAGAGAAGGGAGACTAAATCATCCTCTAGTCCATGTAATAAATTTGCATTTAATTATATATCATTTTAATTTTTTTCAAAGCAATCCACTGACATCCCACAATATTGTCTTAAAGTTTTATCAAAATGTGTGAAATAATCTAAAACTGATTCACTTGGGTTCCGTTGGCATTGTTGGACTTGATTCCAATCCACAACCATTTGCAACACTGAAGGAATGATATTTAACAGAGGAGTTGCTCATTTTCGTGCCTCTTTGTGCCTATCTTCTGGATTTTGGAGGGCTGATTGTTGTGACTTTATTGTTCCTTCAGGGGTCAAATCCGCTATAGGGTCTGGCCACTGTGCTTTTCCCAGCCATTCCTTGGTTTTGCTTCTGAGACCAACATGTGGACTAGCTCATAAAGATCTAAATGACATTGGTCATAGGTTCTGATGATGAGCTCACTTTCTCAGGCAAACCCAATTGGATCTTTATGGGGATCAGGACATTTTTTTAACTATGCCTTGCAACTCAGCCTTTGACCAGGTTTGGTGGACAATCACTGGGGTTCCCCTACCTATTACTAGTTGTTCCTGAAATGGGGTGATCATGAGAGATGTCCCTGCAGGGTCATCCTTTTCCACACCTTTCAGATGAGAGGCTACCACTGGGGCTGTCAGAAAATCATCAGGGGGTAGGTCTTTGAAGTAAGACTACTTACTTCCTTCTGTTGAGTGAGTGGTAGACATGCAGGAGAAGGAAGGGCAGATCTTGTCTGGGAAGTTCAGAGAGGTCAGGGTAGAGTGGGGTTGTAGGTGGAGGTGGGGGAGGTGCAAAGGGGGAAGTAAGGGATTCCCAGGATTTCTTTAAGATAGATAAAAGAAAGTTCTTGATTAGCATTTCTAAGTTCTTTACTGGCATTCTGTAAGGGAGATGAGGCAGTCTTCCCTCCTTTTGCTACTCTCCAGATACCACTGAAAGTAGCTCTCCCATTTTGGTTGTTTAGTTTTTGTGCCTGCATTTTCCATCCTCATTCACCAGTACACTAATTTGGGCAGCTCAAAAAATCCCCATTTAGGACATTGTAACTTAGAATCTGCTTTAGTTACAGTGGTTCACCTGTTTAAATATTTGTATGATGATTCACCGTAAGTATTTTGCATATACCTGGACAGTTTCTAAAGGGGGAATTTCATGTTCCACAGCTGCTGGGGTTTTAGCTAACTAACTTGCCTCATTTCCCATAATTTAGAGTTCCCTTTTGGATTTGATCAAATCAGGACGTGTGTCGGACCCGAAATGTGTGGCTTGCAGACCTAGTTTTTCATGGACGTTACTCCCTGAACCGGTTTGGTCCACCCGTGTCACAGCTACCTGGCACTGTGTCAGGGGCTCAAGGTGCGGGAGGGGTCAGCGCCTTATATGCACCTGCTGGCTTAGATTAGAACCTAAGTATGCTCTCCTGAGGGGAAAGCTTATGTAGAGCTGCTGCACATCTTAGGGAGAGTTCCACCCAGTCACCCTCATGTGATTCTCAGTCACCTGAGAATGCCCCGAAAGGCTGAGGGGAGCAAGGTGCTCTTATTTATTTGGTGTGAAAGATTCCATACTCATGAGATAGAGGGTTCAGATTTGGTCAAATCCAAAAGGGGAAAGTACCAAAACACACACACACACACACACACACACACACACACACACACACACACACACCAACAAGGCAGGAACAAACAGCAAAACAGTTAAGCAAAACTAACAATTATCACACAAATTATATGATTTCTGAGTGCTCTAAGTGTAAGCAGGAATTACCACAAGCTGGTTGTTAATGCTAATTTTAGTCATTTAAAAGAACTTTCAAGACAGAATCCCAAACCAGTTTCTTACCTAGTAATGGTGGCTCAAGGTTAAGATGGCTCTCCACCTTTGCAGATGCAGATGGGCTCACTTTTCTTGATGGAAGCAAGTGAAAATTCCCTCTGTTACCGGGGGTTCTTGCTCCCAGAGCTCCCAAGATGGTGGCGGGCCGCTTCCAAAAAGGTGGCGGGCTGCTTCCAAGATGGTGGCAAGCCTCATGTTCTCTGATCTGGGGTTCTTGGCCTCACGGATTCCAAGGAATGGAATCTTGGGCCATGCGATGAGTGTTATCGCTCTATTAGATGCCGTGGGTCATGGAAGAGAACCATGGAACCCAGTGACTGGTGTTCAGCTTGATTAGGACAAACCCAGGCACTTAGCCATGCAGGAACAACAGCAAGCCTCTAGCCTGATCAGGAGCGGCAATGGGCGCCTCCCTGGATCAGGAGCACAGCGGACACCCTGCCATATCCGGAGGGATGGAAGTCAGCGGCGGGTCTGCGATGACTGCAAACAGCAGTGGTGGAAGGCAAGTAGAAGCTCAGCTTGAGCCCTAACAAACACGGACCAGAAGAGTGCAGTTGCAAGATTTAATAGAGTGAAAACAGAGCTCCCATACAAAGGGAGGGGACCCAAAGAGGGTAGCCATTGCCGGCTTGAATGCCTGGGTTTATATCCCGATCATTGTCCCTCCGGTTGTGCTCTCAGGCAATAGATGATTGGCTATTTCTTTACCTCCTGTTTTTGCCTAATCAGCATTTTAGTGATCTCTCTTTCCTACCTGATTGGTCGGGTGTGAGCTAAGTTGCAAGCCCCATGTTTAAAGGTGGATGTGGTCACCTTCCCAGCTAGGCTTAGGGATTCTTAGTCGGCCTAGGAAATCCAGCTAGTCCTGTCTCTCAACTCAAGAAAGAGGCTTTTTAACAGGAAATAAGCCTCAGACTCTCCAACTAAAAAAATGTTGGGAGATCAGAGATCCCTGGAGAAAAGAGGTCCTGGACTTCAGCAAATCATTCTATCAGTTTGGGCTATAAGGTTCCCAAGTCAGTACCAAGCACTGAGAGGAGAGCCACTTCAGGCCGGGTCACCATCACTCAGGATCTCATCGTGGTTACCAGATATCAATCGTGAAAAATGACAAGACAAGTCTCAAGCATTTTAGGATGCTTATTTGCCAAAGTTAAGGATCTGCACCCAGGAGACAGGTCTATGCACTTAAAGATGATTTTGAGGGCTCCAAATTTGAAGGGTAAAGGGCGGGATATTGAGAAGTACACAATTTTCATGTAAGAGAATGGTAGGGAAAAATAGTCATTCATGCCTTTGTCTGGTTCAGTGAATGTGCTTTTTTTTATTTTTTTACGTAAGGTAACATAGAAAAATACAGCAAGGGAAAATGCAGGGAATTTGCATTTTACATAAGATAACATAGACAAAATGGGGCAGGGGAACAATCAGATATGCATTTGTGTCTGGTGGGCCAAAGGTGACTGCACCTGTAAAGATAAGCTATCAATTTTCATTTCCATGATGAAATTTTAACAGAAACACCTTAACAGATCTTGAAGCTCACTAGGAATTTCATTGAGGGCAAAATATAGGGGAGGCATGTAGCTTTTCATCTTGTGGCCATCATCTTATTTAGGAACCAAAAAGGGGAGGCAGGTTTGTGTGACCCAGTTCCCAGCTTCTCTTTTCCCTTTGGCTAAATGAGTTTGTGGTCCCAAAATTGAATTTCCTTTCACAGAGGACATACAATACTCTGATCATTGGATTTACTTGAGCTTTTGACTTGGTTCTTTCTCATCTCTGTATGTTGGTGCTCCTTTAACTGCAGTGCAGATTTAGTACAGTCAATCAACTTCTTTTCTGGATGTTTTCACAGGGCCAAGGCTTTGCCCAGTGTCTTTATTTGAAGCTGACTTCTTGCCTCTAGTTTTGAAGGTGGGTATGTTAGTGAGGTATTTTTGGTGTTGATGGTTTGGGATGTGATCCAGTAGGTGGCACTTAGGCTTATTGGTCAGTTGGTAGACTCTTGATCAGTTGTGTGGCTCCCTTACGTTTTCTCACAGTTGTGGCCATGTTCCCACTGATGTTCTGAAAGTGTGAGTTTCTCTCCCCCTTGAATGCTGGCTCTAGATCATAGCTTCGCATTCCTGAACTGCCCACTGCAATTCTGGGATGATGTCAGTGTTTATGTTCCTTCCTCAACTTGGAGGCAGCAGAAGAAGGGACCTTAGTAGTGGTTGTGGCCAAGGGTATTTTGCTTGTCTCCTGGGGGCTCCAACTCAAAAAGATGCAGGATAACAATCACTTAGTGAAATCATCCCAAGATTGAGAGTCTGTGCTGTGTGGCCAAGTTAGGGATTCCCTGTCTGATGACGAGCAGTGTGGGGTGTGTGTGATTTATGAGAGATGGCCTGGTCTCCTTTACATGGGTCAACTGAAGCTTATTGGAGGTGTAGACAGGGCACTTTAGGTCTTTGCTTTTTTGTTAGTCCAAGCACAGCAAGGGCAGTACCACTGCAGAGGCAGTTGCAGGGAGGCTTTCAGCTACCTTGAGAGGCTCTGTCCAGGGAGTTGCCAAGTTGCTATTGGCTCAATAGCTCTGCCAGGGGGTGACTAGAGGCCCCGGAAGACATGCCTGGTGAGGAGACATTGGAATGAGCACCCATGTAAGTCTAGCCCTTCTTTTGTAGGTCTGCTGTGGTATGCTGAAGACTCACTCCAGTCCCTAGTCATCTCAGATTTTCCAGTACCTGGAAGTATCTCCAGTGAAGGCTATGAAACAGCAAAGATGACATCTTGACCCTCCCTCTGGGAGCTTCATTCCAGGAAGTTGTGCACCTGCTGCTGGCCCAAATGCACAGTAGGAAGTGGCTAGAGACCCTGGTTGGGAGGTCCTGCCCTGTAAGGAGTAATGGAATTAGGGACCTGCTTTAAAAACAGTCTGGTCATGTTTTCTTAGAGTAGTTGTACCGTGTAGGGTGTCAGCTTCAGGTCTCCGTAACATTAAACATTCCAAAGCCCCAAAACTGGAATGTCTAAGCCATCCAAACAGCAAAGAGAGTGGCCCCCTCCTCCCTCTGGGAGCTCCATCCAAAGGAGGTTGGAAACCTCTTTAAGCCAGAGAACACTAGCGGGAATAGCTGGAGACCTGGTTGGGAGGATCTGCCAGTGGTGAGAAATGGAATCAGGGAGGCACTTTAAAAAGCAGCCTGGCCATATTTTTTGCTGGGCAGCTGTGCTATGCTGGGGGACAGCCTCCATCCCTAGTCAGCTCAGACTGTCCATAGCCTAAAGGCTTGAATGGCTATGTTGCCAAAACAGCAATGATAGAAGCTCACTTCTCCCTCTGGGAGCTTGGGAGCTCCGTGAGAGGGAGATTTCAAATCTCTCTTCACTGTGGAAAACCGGTGGAGGTGGCTGGGTGGCTGGAGGCTTCTGTTGGGAGGTCCCACTCAGTGAGGAGGAAAGATATTGAGAACCCACTTTAAAAAGCAGTCTGGCCACATTTTTGTAGAGTAGCTGTGCTGTGCTGGGGGATCCCTTCTACCCGCTGTCATCTTGGAATCTTCAAAGCTCATAGGCTGGAGTTGCTAAGTCATCTAAACAGCAAAAATGGTGACCAGCCACTCCCTCTGGGAACTCTTTCTCGGGGAGGTGCAACACTGCTAATGGTAGCTGGCTGGAATTCCAAGCCACTGTGTCTTATCGTGCGAGGTGCCATAGAATTGTGGCCTGCAGACTGTCTCTGGGCAGCCTTCTGGATTCAGAGTCTTTACCAGGGGTCTATATAAGGATATAACCTCCCACTTTGCCGGAGATGCATCTACTTTTGCCAGGAAGCCTAGAAAGCCCAAGTATCCAGGGTTCCTGGTCTCTGTGTGTGCCCAAATGGCTTCTCTGCTGAGACTCTATGTATTTCTGTCTGTCAGACTGAAGGCCCCAGTGGAGTGGGTTCATGAGGGGTGCTCCTGACCCAAAAGTTGCAAAGATTCATGGGAGAAGTGTAGGACCCTAGGGTCACACATTCATTCACCACTTTTCTGGGCAGGGGGTGATCCCCTGGCTCTCTGTTGCTCCCAGATGGGCCATCATCTTGCCTTGCTTTTCTTCATACTCTGGGTCAAGTTGGTTTTCTTGATTAGGCCCAGTGTGAGTACCTGGATGCTTCAGTTGAAGGTGCTGTATTTACTCACCCCTTCCCATTCCTTTACTGCACAAGTGGTAACCAAAAAAAAAAAGGAAAGATGGAGCCTCCATGTTGGTTATGCCTGGCCCCCAGGTAGCCCTTTGCTATTGGCACAGCTGCTGGCATTTGCCTGTGCAAGGTTCCAGCATGCTTATCTATGTTTGCAGCTTGATTTTTTTTAGGCTGTTCTTTGTTAGAAAGTAAGTTACTTTGGGGACAGCTTTTTGTTAGAAGGAAAGCCTTGCTGATGACTCTGTTGCCATCACTATATGCCTAAATAATTTCTTTCTAGCTCCTGTATCACTACCACAAGAGCTGGAAACCACCTGCGTGTGCCATCTGCAGGCTTGGTGACTAGCCTCCCAGACCACTGCAGCTACTGTTAACACCAATGCATACTGACTGGGAGCCATAGGACTGTTTTGTCATTGCTACCACCATCATCTATGCCATAACCACTGTCCAGAGGCCTGAGGACCCATCAACAAGCCTCACCTACCACTGACACTACTAGAACCCAAGCAAGTTGACTGGAGGCTTAAGAATAGGCTGGCCCAGACCCACTAACACCAGTGCCAATGTATACCTCTCTGGTGCCCAGAACAGGCATGCCTGTCCTGCTGCTGCCACCATTGGGAACCTAAGATAAGCCCACATAATGTCCCTATCCCTAGCAAAACGTTAACACAGCCTCTACTAACAACAAGCACTTAAGCAACTGAGGAAGTCAGACACAGCTCATGCTATTTACAGCCCCCCAAAGTCATATAAGGATTACACTACTGCATACACCCAGAATCAAAGCTAAAGTGCCTTATCCAGCCAATATCATAGATACATCTTCAGGAAAAAGTCCACCTCTACAAAATCCAATTCAAAAAAAATTGAAGAAGTTACTGTTAAAACAGATGTGCAGATATTAATATAAGAAAATAAGGAACATAAAAAGGAAATGTGATGCCTACAAAGAAACACAATAGTTGTTTAGCAACACATTTTATTTAAAAAGATTTATGAAATCTCAAATAAATAATTCAAAATAATGATATTAAAAAGCTTAGCAAAACACAAAATTATTTTGAAAAATAGTACAAAAAATCAGAAAAAAATTAGAGGCTATGAATTTAAAATTTACCAGAGATAATTGTAATTAAAAAAAGAAAATTGTGGAACTGAAGAATTATTATTGAATAAATTATAAAATAAATTTTAACATTTCAACAATACACTAGATCAAGCAGAAAAGGTAATTTCAAAAATACAGCACATTTGAAATAACCCAGTCAGAAAAAAAATACAGAAAAGAAAAGAATGAATGAAGCCTTTATGAGAAATGAGACACAACAAAGAAATCAAATTTAAATAATTTTAGTGTCCCAGAAAACAAAAAGTAAATGAAAGATTTGTAGAACCCACTTAATAAAATTATAGCTGAAAAGTTTCAATGTCTAGCAAGAGACTTACATATGAGGATATAGAAAGCTCAGAGATTCCCAAATAGAAAATATTTCAAAAGATCTTCTCCATGGCACATTATAATTAAACTGTCAAAAGTCCAAGAAATAGAGATAACTCTAAAAACATCAAGAGATAAGCATCTAGTCACTATAAAAGAAACCCCCTTCAAAATAACAACGGATTTTTTCAGCACAAACCTTACAGGCCAGGGGAGAAGGGGATGATATATTTAAAGTGTTTTTAAAAAATACTCCCAGCCAAGGATATTATACCCAACAAAGTTATCCTTCATAAATGAAAGAGAAATAAAGGTTTTTCCAGAAAAACAAAAGCTGAAAGAATTTATTTACCATTAGGCCAGCCATACGAGAAATGCTTAAGAGGGCCCATGTGGAAGTAAAAGAATGATATGTTCAATTATGAAAATACACAAAAGTATAAAACCCACTGGTAGATTTAACACACAAGTGAGGAAGAGAAAGAACTAAAATGTTATAATTAAAGAAAACCACCAAATGGCAATGATAAACAATAAAAGAGATGAGGAAGATAAAAGAATATACAAAAATATCAGAAATTAATATTATGACAGGAATATGCCCTCAGGTATAAATAATAATTTAAATATAAACAGATTAAACTCTCCATTAAAAGATATGGACTGATTAAATAAATTTTTTAAAGCATAACCCACTTACATGTTGTCCACAAGAAACTCATCTCATGGATAAAGATACATAGAGACTTAAAGTTAAAAAAATGGAAAAAGATAGTCCATGCAAACAGAAACGAAAAATGAGCAGGGGCAGCTCTAATTATATTTAATAAAATAGATCTTAAGTTAAAAACACTAGAAAAGAGACAAAGAAGGTCATTATATAATAAATGGGTCTATTCAGTGGGAAGATAATAACAGTTCTAAACTTATACAAAAGCAACACTACAGCACTCATTATATAAAGCAAACATTATTAAATCAAAAGGGGGAAATAGACTCCAACACAATAATAGTTGGGGACTTCAATACGCCCTCTCAGCACAAGCTCAATTATTTAGACAGAAAATTAACAAAGAAACTTGCATTTAAACTGCACTTTAGCCCAAATGAACCTAAAAGATATTTATAGGACATTTTATCTAACAGCTACAGAATACACATTCTTATCAGCACACGTAGCATTCTGCATGATAAATCACATATTATGACATAAACAAGTTTTAAACTTTTTAAAAAGTCATAATCATGTCAATTTTTTTTCAGAGCACAATGGAATAAAACTAGAAATAAATAACCAGGAACTTTGGAAACTGTATAAATACAGTTAACATTTCATTTAACAAAAATTATATAACATGCTAATGAATGATTATGGGTCAAGAAAGAGATTAAAAAGAAAATTTTTAAAATTATTGACAAGAATGAAAATTTAAACTTAACATACCCTAACCTATGGGATACCACAGAAAAAATGCTAAAATGAAGTTTATATCAATAAAAGCCTACATAGAAAAAGTAGAAACATTTTAAATAAGCAATGTAATTATGCAGCTAAAAGAACTAGAAAAGCAAATTAAAAAAAATACTTCTTAAATAAAAAATAAATGATAAAGATCAAAGTAAAACTAAACAAAATATAAACTAAAGTATACAAAGCATCAACAAAATGAAAAAATTTGAAAATTAAATAAAACCAAAAAACCACTAGCTATACTAAGAAAATAAAAAGACCCAAATACATAAAATCAGAAATAGAAAATGATAAATTAAATCTAAAATCACAGAAACAAAAGATCTTCAGATACTGTTATGAACAAACATACACTGACAACCTAAAAAATCTAGAAGAAACATAAATTTCTGGACACATACAGCCTACAAAGGTAGAATTAAAAAAAATAGAAAACCCGAACAGACCAGTAACAAGTAATGAGTTTGAACAGGTAACAAAAAGGCTCCCAACAACAAAAAAGGCCACAGCCAAATGGTTTCACTGCTGAAGACTCCCAAATTTACAAAGAAGAACTAACACCAGTTCCCTTCAAATGATTTCAAAACATTGAAATAAGAGAATTCTCCCTAACCCATTCATAAAAACAACGTAACCCTGATACTAAAACCAGAAAAGAAAGTAACAAGAACAACAATAAAATCTATAGAAAAATACTTATGATAAACAAATATGCAACAATCTTTAACAAAATACTACCAAGGAATCCCAAACTATATCAAAAACATAATACATAGCTGAAAATTACTGTAATGTAAGAATTATGAAAATTTACAAGTCTCCAAATGATACTCAAACTCTTAAGTGTTATGCTTTTTAGATAGTATGTTATCTGTTTGGAGGTAATTTTTCATTATTCTTAGGCATAATTTTGTGCTCATACTTGAAGTTATACTAAATTCTGTTTTGTAAATACACTAGTTGCATTGTAGCTGGGAGTTGCTTTTAACTTGAAATCTGGACCTGATACAGTTTCAATAATTTTAACAAATATTACTTTAAAAATATTTAACTTATTTATCGAGAAATTTTATTTTAATTTGCCCACTTATTTACCCCCTCAACAGATTTAGGTTGTTCTTATCTATACTCTATGAGTATATCAATTATAGAATGTGTCATAATTATTGCAACATTTTGTTTACATTCTTGTTTCTTTGACTATACTGAAAACTTTTTTACATATATAGTTTCTTTAAAATTTTAACTTTATTTTTTGTGGGTACAGAGTAGGTGTATATATTTATGAAGTACATGAGATATTTTGATACAAGCATGCAATGCATAATAATCATATCAGGATGAATGGGAGTATCCATTATCTCAAGCATTTTTCCCTCATGTTTCCAAAAATCCAATTACACTCTTAGTTACTATAAATGTCCAGTTAAATTTCTTTACAGTTGTCATCCTGTTGTGCTGTCAAATACAATGTCTTATTAATTCTTTGTAATTATTTTTTATACCCATTAACCTTCCTGAGTTTCTCCTCCTTCAACTACCCTTCCCAACCTCTGGTAACTATCCTTCTGCCCTCTAATTATTTGATTTTTAGCTCCCACAGATAGGGGGAATATGCAATGTTTGTCTTTCAGTGCCTGTTTTATTTCACGTAGAATAGCGTCCTCCAGTTCAATCCATGTTGTTGCAAATGACAGGATCACTTTCTTTTTTATGGCTGAATGGTACTCCATTGCATAGATGTACCATATTTTCTTTATCCATTCATCTGTTGATGAACACTTAAGTTGCTTCAAAGTTTAGCTATTGTGAACAGTGCTGCAACAAACATGGCAGATGTATTTTAAATATACTGATTTTAAATATACTGATTTCCTATCTTTTGGGTATATACCCAGAAGTGTGACCCCTGGAGTATATGGTAGTGCTATTTCTATGGTGAGAAATAGAGGTGTAGTTTCATTCTGCATATGCATATTCAGTTTTCTCAGCACCATTTATTAAAGAGACTCTCTTTTCCCCAGTGTATGTTCCTGGCACCTTTGTCGAAAAATGAGTTTAATGTAGGTGTGTGGATTTGTTTCTGGGTCCTCTATTCTGTTCCATTAGTCTTTGTTTCTGTTTTTATGCCAGTAACATGCTGTTTTGGTCACAATAACTCTGCAGTATAATTTGAAGTCAGGTAATGGGATCCCATTTTTTTTTTCCATTAGGATAGCTTTGGCTATTCTGGGTCCTTTGTGGTTCCATATAAGTTTTAGAGTTGTCTTTCTCTAGTTTTGAAGAATGTCATTGGTATTTTGACAGGGATTGCATTGAAGCTGTAGATTGCTTTGAGTAGTATGGTCATTTAAACAATATTGATTCTTCCAATCCATGAACATAAATTACCTTTCCAGTTTTTGGTGTCCTGTTCAATTTTTTTAATCAACATTTTATGGTCTTTATTAGAGAGAAATTTCACTTCTTTGGTTAAGTTGATAAGCATTTACTTTTATTTGTGGCTATTTTAATTGGGATAACTTTATATTTCTTTTTCAGATTTTACACTGTTGATATACAGAAATGTTACTGATTTTTGTATGTTGATTAAGTATCCTGCAACTATAGTGAATTTGCTAGTTCAAACAGTTTTTTTAATAAAGTCTTTATGTTTTGCGAAATATGAGATCATATAATCTGCAAACAGGGATAATTTGACTTCTGCTTTTGCAGTTTGGATGCCCTTTATTTCTTTCTCCTGCCTGATTGCTCTAGCTAGGACTTCCAGCACTATGTTAAATAATAGTGGTGAAACTGGGCAACCTTGTCATGTTCCTGATCTTAGAGGAAAGGATTCAGTATAAGACAAGTTGTGAATCTGTTGTATACAGCTTTTATGTTGAGATATGTTCATTCTATTACCAGTTTTGAGGGGCTTTACCACAAAGGAATGTTGAATTTTATCAAATGCTTTTTCAGCATCAATTGAAATGATCATATGGTCTTCTTCTTTCTGTCAATATGATGTATCAATTTAATTGACTTGCCTATGTTGAAGGATACTTGCATCTCAGAGATAAATTCCACTTGGTCATGATGAATGATCTTTCTAATATATGGTTGAATTTGGTGTGCTAGTATTTTGTTGAAGATTTTTGTATCAATATTCATCAGATATATTGATCACTAGTTTTTTTTTAATGTCTCTTCATCTGCTTTTAGTACAAGGATAATAGTGGCCTTGTAGAATGAGCTTGCAAGTATTCCCTCCTCCTCTACTTTTTGGAATAGTTTGAGTAGGACTGGTATTTATTTTTCATTAAATATTTGGTAGAATAAACAGTGAAGCCATAGGGTCCTGGGATTTTGTTTTTTTCTGAGAGAATTTTTATTACAGCTTCTGTCTTGCTCCTTGTGGTTCGTCTGTTCAGCTTTATAGATCTATTCAGAGTTAAATTTGTAGGTTGTATATGTCTAGGAATTTGTCTATTTCTTCCAGAGTTTCCAATATATAGGCGTATTGTTGTTCATAGTAGCTACTAATAATTATTTGAATTTTTGTGGTGTCAGTTGTAATGTAATGTCTTTTTTTTGTCAACTCTGATTTTATTCATTTGAATTAGCTCTCTTTTTTTCTTAGTCTTGTTAAAGGTTTGTCAATTTTTTTCTAAATTTTCAAAAATTCAACTTTTGTTTCATTGAACTTTTATATTATGATCTCATTGCAATTTCATTTATTTTTGTTGTGACCTTTATTATCTATTTTCTTCTACTAATTGTGGGGTTTGTTTTGTTGTTGTTGTTGTTCTAGTTCTTTAAGACACATAGATGATTGTTCATTTGAAGTTTTTTTATGTAGGCACTTATATACATTTTATATACACTTTATATATGCTTTTTTACGTAGGGGCTGCTACACACTTTACTTCTAATACTACTTTTGCTTAATCTCATAGGTTTTGGTATGTTGTGCTCCTATTATCATTTGTTTCAAAAATCTTTTTTTTTTAGATTTTCCTCTTAATTTTTTCATAGACTCATTGGTCATTGAGGAGCATATTGTTTAATTTCCATGTATTTGTATAGTTTCCAAAATTCCTCTTGTTATGGATTTTTAGCTTTATTCCCTTGTGGTCAGGGAAAGTGCTCAATATTACTTCAATTTTTTTTAATGTTTTAGTCTTGTTTTGTGACTTAACATATGGCCTGTCCTTGAGAATAATCTATGTGCTAAGGAGAAGAAAGTGTATTCTGTAGCTCATGGATGAAACGTTCTGTAAATATCTATTCAATACATCTATTCTATAGTTCAGATTAAGGCCGATGTTGTTGTTGTTATTGTTTTAATTTTCTGTACAGAAGATCTTTCCAATGCTGAAAGTGTGGTGTTGAAGTCTCCGGCTATTGCTGTACTGGAATCTATCTTTCTGCTTATCTCTAATAATATTTGCTTTATATGTCTGTGTGTTCCAGTGTTGGAGATATATATATATATATATATATATATATATATATAAATCACTGGCTAAAATGACTGTTTTATTCTGTTTTATTATTATATGATAACCTTCTTTGTCTCGTCTGATAGATTTTGTCCTAAAAACTAATTTATCTTATATAAGTATAGCTACTGCTTTTCTTTTTTTAATTTCAATTTGCATGAAATCTCTTTTTCCATTTATTTATTTTAATTCTACATGTTTCTTTATAAGTGATGTGTGTTTCTTGCAGCAACAGATCACTGGTTCTTTTCTTTTTTTATCCATTCAGCCAGTCTATGTCTTTTAATTGGTGAGTTTAGTACATTTATATTCAATGTTATTATTGATAAGTAATAATTCACTCTTGCCATTTTGTTTTTTGTTTTGGGTTGTTTTGTGGTCTTCCTTTCCTCCTTTTTTTCTTAACTGTCTTCCTGTTAGTGAAGGCAATTGTCTCTGTTTATATAATCTAGTTTTTTTCTTTTTATTTTTTTTGTATCTATTATATGTTGTTTGCTCTGAAGTTACCGTGAGACATGCAAATGCAATCTTATGCCCCATTGTTTTAACCTGATAACAACCAACAGTTTGTGTAAACAAACAAACAAGCAGAAAATACTAATAAAGATTCTATGAGTTAACTTCATTCCCCTACTTTTTAACTTTTTGTTGTTTCTATATATTGAATTATAATTTGATGTTTTGAAAAATTGTTATCATTTTTTATTACTTTACAATTTACTCTTTTTACTTGACTAGTTTACATACCACAGTTACAGTGTATATATATATATATATATATATATACAGTTACAGTGTATATATATATATATACAGTTACAGTGTATATATATATATATATATATATATATATATATTTCTTTTCTTGTGTATGTACTTACTATTGACAATGAGTTTTATACCTTCAGGTGTTTTCTTATTGCTCACTGTATTCTTTTTTTCCGACTGAAGTACTTCCTTTTGCATTTCTTCTAGATCAGTTCTGGTGTTGATTAAGTCCTTTAGCTTGTACTTGTCTCTTGAAGTTTTTATTTTTCCTTAATGTTTGAAGGATATTTTCACAAGAAACACTGTTGTAGGGTCATTGTTTTCATCTTATTTTTAGTATCTTAAATATATCATGCCACTTTCTCCTCTATTTTAAAGTTTACACAGTAGAGTCTGCTGTCAGGTATATTAGAGTTCAATTTTATTTTACTTGTTTCTTTATTCTTGCTGCTTTTCAGAGCCTTTCTTTTTTTTGGACTTCGAAGTTTGATTTCTAAATGCGTTATGTTAGTCTTCTTTTTTTTATTATACTTTAAATTTTAGGGTACATGTGCACAACATGCAGGTTTGTTACATATGTATACATGTGCCATGTTGGTGTGCTGCACCATTAACTTGTCATTTAACATTAGGTACATTTCCTAATGCTATCCTTCCCCCGTCCCCCCACCCCACAACAGGCCCCGGTGTGTGATGTTCCCCTTCCAGTGTCCAAGTGTTCTCATTGTTCAATTCCCACCTATGAGTGAGAACATGCGGTGTTGGGTTTTTTGTCCTTGTGATAGTTTGCTGAGAGTGATGGTTTCCAGCTTCATCCATGTCCCTGCAAAGGACATGAACTCATCATTTTTTATGGCTGCATAGTATTCCATGGTGTATATATGCCACATTTTCTTAATCCAGCCTATCATTTTTGGACATTTGGGTTGGTTCCAAGTTTTTGCTATTGTGAATAGTGCCACAATAAACATATGTGTGCTTGTGTCTTTATAGCAGCATGTTTTATAATCCTTTGGGTATATACCCAGTAATGGGATGGGTGGGTCAAATGGTATTTCTAGTTCTAGATCCCTGAGGAATTGCCGCACTGACTTCCACAATGGTTCAACTAGTTTACAGTCCCACTATCAGTGTAAAAGTATTCCTATCCTCTCCAGCACCTGTTGTTTCCTGACTTTTTAATGATTGCCATTCTAACTGGTATGAGATGGTATCTCACTGTGGTTTTGATTTGCATTTCTCTGATGCCCAGTGATGATGAGCATTTTTTCTCATGTCTGTTGGCTGCATAAATGTCTTCTTTTGAGAAGTGTCTGTTCATATCCTTTGCCCACTTGTTGACGAGGTTGTTTTTTTCCTGTAAATTTGTTTGAGTTCTTTGTAGATTCTGGATATTAGCCCTTTGTCAGATGAGTAGATTGCAAAAATTTTCTCCCATTCTGTAGGTTGCCAGTTCACTCTGATGGTAGTTTCTTTTGCTGTGCAGAAGCTCTTTAGTTTAATTAGATCCCATTTGTCAATTTTAGCTTTTGTTGCCATTGCTTTTGGTGTTTTAGACATGAAGTCCTTGCCCATGTCTATGTCCTGAATGGTATTACGTAGGTTTTCTTCTAGGGTTTTTATGGTTTTAGGTCTAATATTTAAGTCTTCAATCCATCTTGAATTAATTTTTGTATAAGGTGTAAGGAAGGGATCCAGTTTCAACTTTCTACATATTGTTAGCCAGTTTTCCCAGCACCATTTATTAAATAGGGAATCCTTTCCCCATTTCTTGTTTTTGTCAGGTTTGTCAAAGATCAGATCGTTGTAGACATGCGGCATTATTTCTGAGGGCTCTGTTCTGTTCCATTGGTCTATATCTCTGTTTTGGTACCAGTACCTTGCTGTTTTGGTTACTGTAGCCTTGTAGTATAGTTTGAAGTCAGGTAGCGTGATGACTCCAGCTTTGTTCTTTTTGGTTAGGATTATCTTGGCTCTGTGTGCTCTGTTTTGGTTCCATATGAAATGTAAAGTAGTTTTTTCCAATTCTGTGAAGAAAGTCATTGGTAGCTTGATGGGGATTGCATTGAATCTATAAATTACCTTGGGCAGTATGGCAATTTTCACAATATTGATTCTTCCTACCCATGAGCATGGAATGTTCTTCCATTTGTTTGTATCCTCTTTTATTTCATTGAGCAGTGGTTTGTAGTTCTCCTTGAAGCGGTCCTTCACATACTTTGTAAGTTGGATTTCTAGGTATTTTATTCTCTTTGAAGCAATTGTGAATGGGAGTTCACTCATGATTTGGCTCTCTGTTTGTCTGTTATTGGTGTATAAGAATGCTTGTGACTTTAGCACATTGATTTTGTATCCTAATGAACTCAAACAAATTTACAAGAAAAAAACAAACAACCCCACCAAAAAGTGGGTGAAGGATATGAACAGACACTTCTCAAAAGAAGACATTTATGCAGCCAAAAGACAAATGAAAAAATGCTTATCATCCCTGGCCATCAGAGAAATGCAAACCAAAACCACAATGAGATACCATCTCACACCAGTTAGAATGGTGGTCATTAAAAAGTCAGGAAACAGCAGGTGCTAGAGAGGATGTGGAGAAATAGGAACACTTTTACACTGATGGTGGGACTGTAAACTAGTTGAACCATTGTGGAAGTCAGTGTGGCGATTCCTCAGGGATCTAGAACTAGAAATACCATTTGACCCACCCATCCCATTACTGGGTATATACCCAAAGGATTTTAAAACATGCTGCTATAAAGACACATGCACACATATGTTTATTGCGGCACTATTCACAATAGCAAAGACTTGGAACCAACCCAAATGTTCAACAATGATAGACTGGATTAAGAAAATGTGGCACATATACATCATGGAATACTACGCAGCCATAAAAAAGGATGAGTTCATGTCCTTTGTAGGGACATGGATGAAGCTGGAAACCATCATTCTCAGCAAACTATCACAAGGACAAAAAACCAAACACCGTGTGTTCTCACTCATAGTTGGGAATTGAACAATGAGAACACTTGGACACAGGAAGGGGAACATCACACACTGGGGCCTGTCATGGGGTGGGAGGAGGGGGGAGGGATAACTTTAGGAGATATACCTAATGTAAATGAGGAGTTAATGGTGCAGCACACCAACAAGGCACATGTATACATGTGTAAGAAACCTGCACAATGTGCACATGTACCCTAGAACTTAAAGTATTAAAAAAAAAGAGCCTACCTACCAAAGGAAGCCCAGGATCAGATGGAATAACAGCCAAATTCTACTAGAGGTACAGAGGAGCTGGTACCATTCATCTGAAACTATTCCAAACAATAGAAGAAAGAGGGACTCCTCCTTAACTCATTTTATGAAGCCAGCATCATCCTGATACCAAAACCTGGCAGAGACACCACAAAAAAATTTTCAGGCCAATATTCCTGATAAACATCGATGCAAAAATCCTCAATGAAATACTGACTAACCATATCCAGCAGCATATTAAGAAGCTTATCCACCACGATCAATTTGGTTTCATCCCTGGGATGCAAGGCTGGTTCGACATATGCAAATCAGTAAACATAATCCATCACATAAACAGAACCAATGATAAACACCACATGATTATCTCAATAGATGCAGAAAAGGCCTTCGATAAAATTCAACAGCCTTTCATGCTAAAAACACTCAGTAAACTAGGTATTGACAGAACGTATTTCAAAATAATAATAGCTATTTATGACAAACCTGCAGCCAAAATCATACTGAATGGGCAAAAGCCAGAAGCAGTCCCTTTGAAAACTGGCACAAGACAAAGATGGCCTCTCTCAATACTCTTATTCAACATAGTATTGGAAGTTCTGGCCAGGGCAATCAGGCAAGAGAAAGAAATAAAGTGTACTCAAATAAGATGAGAGGAAGTCAAATTATCTCTGTTTTCAGATGACCTGGTTGTATATTTACAAAACCCCATTGTCTCAGCCAAAAACTCCTTAAGCTGATAAACAACTGTAGCAAAGTCTCAGGATATAATATCAATGTGCAAAAATCACAAGCATTCCTATATACCAATAATAGACAGAGAGCCAAATCATGAGTAAACTCCCAAATCTCAATTGCTACAAAGAGAATAAAATACCTAGGAATACAGCTTACAAGGGATGTGAAGGACATCTTCAAGTATAACTACAAACCACTGCTCAAGGAAATAAGAGAGGACACAAATGGAAAAACATGCCATGCTCATGGATAGGAAGAATCAATATCATGAAAATGGTCATACTGCCCAAAGTAATTTATAGATTTAATGCTATTCCCATCAAGCTACCATTGACTTTCTTCACAGAATTAGAAAAAAGCTACTTTAAATTTCATATGGAACCCAATAAGGAGCCCATATAGCCAAGACAATCCTCAACAAAAAGAACAAAACTGGAGACATCATGGTACCTGACTTCAAACTATACTACAAGGCTACAGTAACCAAAACAGCATGGTACTGGTACCAAAACAGATATGTAGACCAATGGAACAGAACAGAGTCCTCGGAAATAACACCACACGTCTACATCCTTTTGATCTTCAACAAACCTGACAAAAACAAGCAATGAGGAAAGGATTCCCTATTTAATAAATGGTGTTGGGAAACTGGCTACCCATATGCAGAAAACTGAAAGTGAACCCCTTCCTTACACCTTATACAAAAATTAACTCAAGATATATTAAACACTTAAATGTAAGACATAAAACCATAAAAACCCTAGAAGAAAACCTAGGCAATATCATTCAGGACATAGGCATGGGCACAGTCTTCATGACTAAAACACCAAAAGCAATTGCAACAAAAGCCAAAATTGAAAAATGAGATATAATTAAACTAAATACCTTCTGCACACCGAAAGAAACGCTCATCAGAGTGAACAGGCAACCTACAGAATGTGAGAAAATTTTTACAATCTCTCCATCTGACAAAGGGCTGATATCCAGAATCTACAAGGAACTTATACAAATTTACAAAAAAAACGCAAAGAACCCCTTCAAAAATTAGGCAAAGGATATGAACAGCCACTTTTCAAAAGATGACATTCATATGAACATATGAAAAAAAGCTCATCATCACTGGTCATTAGAGAAATGCAAATCAAAACTACAATGAGATACCATCTCACACCGGTTAAAATGGCAATCATTAAACACTCAGGAAACTACAGATGCTGGAGAGGATGTGGAGAAATAGGAACACTTTTACACTGTTGGTCTGAGTGTAAATTTGTTCAACCATTGTTGAAGACAATGTGGCAATTCCTCAAGTATCCTGAACTAGAAATACCGTTTGACCCAGCAATCCCATTACTGGTTATATATCCAAAGGATTATAAATCATTCTACTATGAAGACACATGTGTACATATGTTTATTGCAGCATTATTCACAATAGCAAAGACTTGGAACCTACCCAAATGCCCATCAATGATAGACTGGATAAAGAAAACGTGGTACATGTACACCACGGAATACTAAGCAGCCATAAAAAAGAACGAGTTCATGTCCTTTGCAGGGACATGGATGAAGCTGGAAACCATCATTCTCAGCAAACTAACACAGGAACAGAAAACCAAACACCGCATGTTCTCACTCATAAGTGGGAGTTGAACAATGAGAACATATGGGCACAGGGAGGGGAACATCACACACCAGGGCCTCTCAGGAAGTAGGAGGAAAGGGGAGGGATAGCATTAGAAAATACCTGTTGTAGATGACGGGTTGATGGTGCAGCAAACTACAATGGCACATGTATACCTATGTAACAAACCTGCACATTCTGCACCTGTATTCCAGAACTTAAAGTATAATAAAAAATAAAAATAAAAAAACAGATTCCAATGTCCATTCCATTTTTAACTCCAGAATTTCTACTTGATCCTTTTTAATTGTTTCAATCTCTTTGTTAAATTTATCTGCAAAAATGTAAATTCATTATCTGTGTTATTTTAATTTTTTTTTTTTAGTTTCCTCAGAACAACTATTTTGACTTCTGTGTCTGACAGGCCACATATCTCTGTTTCTCCAGGATTTGTCCCTGGTATCTTAGTTTGTTTGGTGAGGTTATATTTTTTTGGATGATGTTGATATTTGTAGGTATTCATTAGTGTCTGGGAATTGAAGAGTTAGATGTTGATTGTAGCCTTCCTGTCTGGGCTTATGTGTACCCATACTTCTTGAGAAGGCTTTCTAGGTATTTGAAAGGACTTGAATGTTGTAACCTAAGCCACATCTGCATTAGTGTACACCTTAAGCCCATTAATGCTCTGGTTCTTGCAGACTCATATAGGTATCACCTTGATGGCCTTGGACAAAATTCGTGAGAATTATTTGGATCACCAGGCAGAGACTCTTGTTCTCTTTCTTTACTTTCTCTTGGAAAAAACAGAGTCTCTCTCTCTCTCTATGCTGAGTCAACTGGAGCTAATAGTGGAGTTACACAAGTGCCCTGGTGTCCAAGACTGAGACTGCACTGGATCAGACCTGTAGGCAACACACCACTAGGTCTCATCCAAGGTTATCTGCAACCACTACCTGGATACCACCTATGGTAACTCAAGGCCCTATGGCTGTACAGTCAGCAGGTGGAAAATCCAGATAAGCTTGTGTTTTTTTCTTCGAGGTAGTAAGTTCCTCCCAGGCCCTGGGTGCATACAGAGATGCTATCTGGGGGCCTGAGACTGGAGTGAAAACCTTAGAAATCTACCTAATATTCTGTTGTACTGTGACTGAGCTGACCCTCAAACCATAGTATGCAGTCCTTCCTACTTTTTCCTCCTATTTTTATAGGCAGAGGAGCCTCGCCCCGTGGCTGACATCACCTATAGCCCATGGAGAGTACTGCTAAGCTACCACTGACATTAATTTAATGTCCAAGTGTTCTTCAATCACCTTGTGGTGGATGTTGCCAGTTCTGGGACTCAAACTTCAGGGTAGTGGGCTCCCCCTTTGAATCTGGGCTGGTCCAGAAATTCCATCCAAGAGCCAAATCTTGGAATCAGGAACCCCAAGACCCTGCTTGGTGCTCTACCCCACTGTTGCTGAGCTTGTACTTAAGGTGCAAGACAAAGTCCCCTTTACATTTTTTTCTGCTTTACACAAGCTGATGGAGTCTCTCACTGTAGTCATCACAGCTAGGAATTTGCTGCATCTCACTTGAAGCTGGTCAATCTGAGTCTTACCCAAGGCCCATAGGGTGTACTACTGAGTATCTCTGCTAGTTATTCAAGGCCTAATGTCTCTTTAGTCAGCAGGCAATGGGTCTTGCCATGACTGCGTCCTTTCATTCTAGGCAGCAAATTTCCTTCTCACCCAGGGTGTGTCTAGAAATGTTGTCTGACAGGACCTGGAACAGGACTCATGACTCTACCCAGTATATTATGCCATTGTGGCTGAACTAATATCCAAGATGCAAGACAAAGTCTTCTTTGCTTTTTTTTTTCTCTCCTCTCCTGAAGCAGAAGGAAGGTTTCTCTTTTGGATCTGTGAGCTGGTTAGCCTGGATTTAAGGTAGAGGTCAAACAAGCACTCTCTTATCCACCCCAGCTGTTGTCTCAGTAGGTTACATGTATTTTCCCCCAAGCCCATTGGCTCTGAGACCAGCCAGCTCAACATTAAAACTTACCTAGGAGTTGGCCGGGTGTGGTGGCTTACGCCTGTAATCCAGCACTTTGGGAGGCAGAGGCGAGCGGATCACGAGGTCAGGAGATCAAGACCATCCTGGCTAACACAGTGAAACCCCGTCTTTACTAAAAATACAAAAAATTAGCTGGGTGTGGTAGCGGGTGCCTGTAGTCCCAGCTACTCAGGAGGCTGAGGCAGGAGAATGGCCTGAACCTGGGAGGTGGAGCTTGCAGTGAGCTGAGATTGTGCCACTGCACTCCAGCCTGGGCGACAGAGCGAGACTCCGTCTCAAAAAAAAAAAAAAAAGAACTCACCTAGGAGTTGCAGTGTTTGTGGCCTAGATTGCCTTTCAACTTTAAGACCAAAGCACTTGAGCTTATAGTGATAAGGCTTGCCAAAACTCATGTTCTGAGTGCTGCAATAGGTAAATCCTCTCTGGCTGTTATCACTAATCATTAGAAAATTGAAAATCAAAACTGCAATGAAATATTATCTTGCCTCAGGGCTGTTATTATTAAAAAAGACAAAGAGTGACAGATTCTAGCTAGGATGCAGAGAAAAAGGATCTCTTACAGACTGTTGCTTAGAATGTAAATTAGTACAGCCACTGTGATAAATAGTATGAAGAGTTTTCAAACAACTAGAAATGAAATGACCATACAATCCAGTAATCTCACTATTGGATATTTATACAAATAAGAACATGTCAATTTATACAATTTATACAAATAAGAACAAGTCAATAAACCCACAATATGTTTATTGCAGCAGTATTCATAATAGCAAAGATAAAGAATTAACCTAAGTTTTCACCAACAGATGAATAGATAAAAAGGAGATGGTATATTTACTTGTGAAATTAACCAAGCACAGAAAGACAAACTTTGCATGTTTTCACTCAGACACAGGAACTAAAAAAGTGCATCTCGTGGAAGTAGAGAGTAGAATAATGGATACTTGAGGCTGGGAAGTGTGGGGAGGAAATGAATAGAAGTTGGTTAATGGGTACAAAAATACAGTTGGATAGAAGAAATGATTCAATGTTCAGTAGCAAAGTAGGGTGATTATAGTTAACAACAATGTATTATATATTTCAAAATAGCTAGAACACAGAACTCTAAATGTTCCTGACACATAGAGATAATAAATACCTGAAGGGATGAATACCCTAAATGCCCCAGCTTGACTATTCATATTCTATACATTTGTTAAATGGTATTATTTCATGTATTCCATAAATATGTACAAATATTATGTATCATTGTTCTGTTTAATCTCTCTGGTATGGTCTGAAGTTTTAAGTCTCTCTGAAATTTGTATGTTGAACCTCTAACCCCAGAGGTGATGGTATTAGGAGATGGATCCTTGTGGAGGTGATTAAGTTTTGACAGCAGATTCCTTATTAATGGGATTAGGATCTTTATAAACGAAGCCCAAGGGAGCTAATTTCTGCCTTTTATCATGTGAAGACACAGTGAAAACGTGCTATGGAAAAGTAGGCTTTTATTAGTCACCAAATCTGCCAGTGTCTTGGACTTCCCCACATCCTAAACTGTGAGAAATATTCTTCTGTTTTACACAAGCCTGTCAATATATGTTTTGTTATAGCAGCCTGAACAGACTAAGAAAATGTGATGGTTAATACTGAGTGTCAACTTGATTGGATGGAAGCATGCAAAGTATTGTTCCTGGGTGTGTCTGTGAGGGTGTTGCCAAAAGAAATTAAAATTTAATTCAGTGAGCTGAGAAAGACAGTCTCACCATTAATCTGGGTGGGTACTATCTAATCAGCTGCCAGTGCAGCTAGAATATAAAGCAGGCAGAAAAAGGTGAAAAGGCTAGGCTGGCCTAGCCTTCCAGCATACATCTTTCTCCCGTGCTGGATGCTTCCTACCCTCTAACATCGGATTCCAAGTTTTTCAGTTTGGGGACTTGGACTGGCACTCCTTGCTCCTCAGCTTGCAGATGGCCTATTTTAGGATGGCCTATTTTAGGACCTTGTGATTGTGTGAGTTAATAAATTTTGCCTCATATATATGTTAATGAACTTCATATATATATATATATATATATATATATAAAATAGTTGATAAACTCCCCTTCATATATTATATATAATAGTTGATAAACTCCCCTTCATATATTATATATATAAGTTGATAAACTCCTCTTCATATATTATATATACAGAATATATGTATATGTATATGTATATGTATATGTATATGTATATGTATATGTATATGTATATGTATATGTATATGTATATGTATTCTGTTGGTTCTGTTCCTCTAGAGAACCTGGACTAATATAGATTTTGGTACCAGTAATGGTTCTAGAGGAACAGAATATTAAAAATGGAGTCCTTTCATTGGTTTTGAAGTTTCTGGAGTAGGCTGCTTAATATGATTAGACCCAAAAATGCTAAGGATTCTACTTCTAATAGTATGGAGAATACTGAGGTTCCTTGGCATGAATTGTTTAGAGACTTATGCAAAATAAATGCATTTGACACTCTTGATTCAATCATTGGGAGAGGCAAATAGTTTAGTGCCACTATACATAATATCTTTGACCATATGTGGAGAACAAAGGAACAAAATGAATCAGGTTGGTTGTTCCTGAGTTCAATGGACAAAATGATGAAAGACAATGATGAACTCAGGGACTCTAACTCCCAGCTTCAGAAGAAGATACTGAACCTCAAATCTGCTAAGATTGCCCTGAGTGAGAGTCTTATCTCCTAAAGAGAAGAAGCTGAAATTGTGGAAAAACAGACACAAATTCTTTTCACGTGAGTGGCTGACATGCAATCAAAGGTGCATGCACAGACTAGCCATGTGTCTACTGTTAAAGTGAGGGCATTGACTAGAAAAGAATGGGACCCTGCAACTTGGAATGGGGATGTGTGGGAGGACTCTGATGAAGCTGGGGACACTGAGTTTGTAAACTCTGATTAACTTTTTTTTGCCAGAAGAAACAGCATCCCCATCCCCAGTAGTGGCAACATCCACTCCGCAACCTATGCTACCATCAGCCTTTCCACCTTTGTCTGAGGAGATAAATCCTGTGCTGCCTGAGACAACAGTGATGGCCTCCCCTGAGGCAGTTACCAGGCAAGATAATGTTGATTCTCCTCAGAAGCCACCCCCTACACCCATGTTTGCTTCTAGACCTATAACTAGACTAAAGTCCCGGAGAGCCCCTAGTGGTGAGGTTGAGAGTGTGACCATGAGGAGATGTGCCATACTCAAAAAGAACTGCTTGATTTTTCTAATTTATAAACAGAAACCTGGAGAACAGGCATAGGAATGGATATTAAGGGTGTGGGATAATGGTGGAAGGAAAATAGAGTTGGATCAGACTGAATTTGTTGATTTGGGCCCACTAACTAGGGACTCTTTTTTTAATGTTGCAACTCAGGGAGTTAAAAAAAAAAGGTTTTAGTAGTTAATTTGCTTGGTTAGCTGAAATATGGATTAAAAGATGGCCCACTGTGAGCGAGCTGAAAATGCCTGATCTCCCTTGGTTTAATGTAGAGGAAGGGATCCAAAGGCTTAAAAAGATTGGGATGGTGGAGTGGATTAGTCACTTTAGACCTACTCCTCTCAGCATGGAAGGTCCAGAACATATACTCTTGACCAACACCTTGTTAAATAGATATGTGAAGGCAGCACCTGCATCTTTGAAGAGCCCTTTAACTGCTCTTCTCTTTATGTCAGATCTAACTGTGGGAACCACATTCTCTCAACTACAAAATTTAAATACAATGGGAATATTTGGGTCCTCATGTGACAGGAGCCAAGTGGCAGCACTCAACCATCAAAGGCAAGGTGGGCATAGCTATTGTAAGGGACAGCAGAGGCAAAATGGCAATCAGCATAGACTGACTCGTGTAGAGCTCTGGAATTGACTAACTAGTCACGGTCTTCCTAGAAGTGAAATTGATAGGAAGCCTACTGCATTTCTACTTAATTTATATAAGGAAAAAACTTTTAGGTCTAATGGGCAGAATACTAATTTGAATTATAAAAACAGAGAATCATGGTCCCTCAATCAATTTCCAGAATTGAGCCAGTTTACAGACACTGAACCCCTTGAATGAAGGGGAAGCTGTGTCCCCTTGAGGAAAGACCTCATTACACTGCTGGCAATTTATGCTGTTAATCTTTCTCCCATCCTTCCCTGAGAAGACTGCAGGCCTTTTACCAGGGTAACTGTGCAATGGGGAAAAAAAGGATCAGACATTTTGGGGACTACAGGACACTGGCTCTGAACTGCCATTGATTCCAGGGAGCCCAAAACATCATTGTGGTCCTCCAGTTAAAGTGGAAGCTTATGGAGGTCAGGTAATTAATGAAGTTTTAGCTTAGGTCTAACTTACATTGGGTCCAGTGTGTACTAGGGCTCATCTTGTGAACATTTCCCCAGTGCCAGAATGCAAAATTATCATAGATATACTTAACATCTGGCGGATTCCCCACATTGGCTCACTGACTGGTAGGGTGAGGGAAATTATGGTGGGAAAGGCCAAATGGAAGCCATTAGAGCAGCCTCCACCTAGAAAAATAGTAATTCAAAAACAATATCACATCCCTGGAGCTATTACAGAGATTAGTGCCACCATTGAGGACTTGAAAGAAACAGGGGTGGTGATTCTCACCACATCCCCATTCAAATCAAGCATTTGGCCTTTGCAGAAGACAGATGGATCTTGGAGAATGACAGTGAATTATCATAAGCTTAACCAAGTGGTGACTCCAATTGCAGCTGCTGTACCAGATGTGGTTTCATTGCTTGAGCAAATTAACACATCTCCTGGTACCTGGTATGCGGCCATTGACTTGGTAAATGTCTTTTTCTCCATTCCTGTCTATAAAGCTCACCAGAAGCAATTTGCCTTCAGCTGGCAAGGCCAGCAATATACTTTTACTTTCCTACCTCAGGGGTATATCAACTCTCCGGGTTTGTGACATAATCTTATTCGGAGAGACCTTGATCACATTTTGCTTCCACAAGATATCACACTGGTTCACTACATTGACGACATTATGCTTATTGGATCCAGTGAGCAAGAAGTAGCAAACACACTGGATTTACTGGTAAGACATGTGCATGCAAGAGGATGGCAAAAAGGCAGGCACCTTTCACCTCAGTAAAATTTCTAAGGGCCCGGTGGTGTAAGGTGAAGGATAAGTTGGTGCATTTGGCCCCTTCTACAACCAAGAAAGAGGCACAATGCCTAGCGGGTCTGTTTGGATTTTGGAGACAACACATTCCTCATTTGGGTGTGTTATTCTGGCCCATTTATTGAGTGACCTGAAAGGTTGCTAGTTTTGAGTGGAGTCCAGAGAATCCACAGGAGAAGTCTCCGCAACAGGTTCAAGCTGCTATGCAAGCTGCTCTGCCATTTGGGCTATATGACCCAGCAGATCCAATGGTGTTTGAGGTGTCAGTAGCAGATAGGGATGCTGTTTGGAGCCCTTGGCAGGCCCCCTAGGTGAATCACAGTGGAGGCCTCTAGGATTTTGGAGAAAGGCCCTGCCATCATCTGCACATAACTACTCTCCTTTTGAGAAACAGTTCTTGGCCTGTTACTGGGGTTTGGTGGAAACTGATCGTTTTACTATGGGTCATCAAGCCACCATGCAACCTGAACTGCCTACAATGAATTGGGTGCTTCCTGACCAATCTAGCCATAAAGTGGGTTGGGTACAGCAGCATTCCATCATCAAATAAAAGTGGCATATATGTGACTGGGCTTGCTCAGGTGCTGAAGGCACAAGTAGCTTACATGAGGAGGTGACTCAAATGCTCATGTTCTCCACTCCTGCCACTCTGCCTTCTCTCCCCCAGCCTGCCAGAGTGGCCTCATGGGGAGTTCCCTATGATCAGTTGACAGAGGAAGAGAAGACTAGGGCCTGCTTCACAGATGGTCCTGCAGGATATGCAGGCACCACCCGTAAGTGGACAGCTGCAGTACTACAGCCACTTTCTAGGACATCCCTGAAGGAGAGTGGTGAAGGGAAATCTTCCCAGTAGGCAGAACTTTGAGCAGTGCATCTGGTAGAAGATATGGCCAGATGTACAATTATATACTGATTCATAGGCTGTAGCCAATGGTTTGGATGCATGATCAGGGACTTGTAAGAAGCATGATTGGAAAATTGGTGACAAATAAATTTGGAGAAAAGATATGTGGATAGACCTCTGTGAGTGGTCAAAAACTGAAGATACTTGTATCCCATGTGAGTTCTCACCAATGGGTGACCTCAGTAGAGGAAGATTTTAATAATCAAGTGGATAGGATGACTCATTCTGTGGACACCGCTCAGCCTCTTTCCCCAGCCCCTGATGTCATTGTCCAATGGGCTCATGAACAAAGTGGCCATGGTGGCAAGGATGGAGGTTATGCATGGGCTCAGTAAGATGTACTTCCACTCACCAAGGCTGACCTGGCTACAGCTACTGCTCAGTGTCCAATTTGCCAGCAGCGGAGACCAACACTGAGACCTCAATGTTGAACAATTCCTCAGGGTGATCAGCTACCTACCGGGTGGCAGGTTGATTATATTGGACCTCTTTCATCATGGAAAGGGCAGAGATTTTTCCTCACTGGAATAGACAGTTACTGTAGATATGAGTTTGCTTATCCTACACACAATGCATCTTCCAAGATTACCATTCATGGACTCACAGGATCCCTTACCCACCGTCATGGTATTCCACACAGCATTGCGTCTGACTAAGGCACTCACTTTACAGCTAAAGAAGTGTGGCAATGGGCTCATGCTCATGGAATTCACTGGTTACCATGTTCCCCATCAACCTGAAACAGCCGGATTGATAAAACGGTGGAATGGCCTTTTGACATCACAATTGCAATGCCAACTAGGTGACAATACATTGCATGTTGTGGCAAGTTCTCCAGAAGGCCATATATGCTCTGAATCAGCATCCAGTATACGGTACTGTTTCTCCCATAGCCAGGGCTCATGGATCCAGGAATCATAGGGTGGAAGTGGAAGTGGTACCACTCACCATAACACCTACTGATCCACTAGCAAAATTTTTGCTTCCTGTTCCCGTGACATTAGGTTCTGCTGGTCTAAAGGTCTTAGTTCCAGAGAAAAGAACGCTGACACCAGGAGACACAAAAACAATTCCATTAAACAGGAAGTTAAGATTTCCACTAGAACACTTTGGGCTCCTCTAACCTTTAAATCAACAGGCTAAAAAGGGAGTTACACTATTGGCTGGGGTGACTCGGATTATCAAGATGAAATCAGTCTACTACTCCACAACGGAGGTAAAGAAGACTATGCATGCAATACAGGAAATTCATTAGGGTGTCTCTTAGTATTACCGTACTCTGTGATTAAGATCAATGGGAAAGTACAACAGCCCAATCCAGGCAGGACTACAAATGGCCCAGACCCTTTAGGAATGAAGGCTTGGGTCACCCCATCAAGAAAAAAACCACAACCTGCTGAGGTGTTTGCTAAAGGAAAAGGGAGTACAGAATGGGTAGTAGAAGAAAGTAGTCAGCAATACCAGCTATGATCACGTGACTAGTTACAGAAATGAAGACTGTAATTTTCCTCCTTCTTTTGTTAAAAACAAATTTGTGCATGTATACACTTGTATTAAGAATATATCCTCATTTTATGTTCTTTTTCCTTTATTATATCACATAAGATTTATTGACTTCATCAGCATTTGAATATTGTTAACTTTATGTAATAGCATTTGGGTTAGGGATTGGTGCATTTCTAGTTGTACGAAGCATAGTTGTATTATGTTAGGCATCCTTTTGACCTTATTATTATCTTTATTTGAAGGTTATATATGATCTCAGGAGATGTGTATGGGTTCAAGTTGACAAGGGGTGGACTTGTGATGGTCAATACTGAGTGCCAACTTGATTGCATTGAAGGATGCAAAGTATTGATCCTGGCTGTGTCTGTGAGGATGTTGCCAAAGGAGATTAACATTTGTGCCTGTGGGCTGAGAAAGGCAGACCCACCCTTTATCTGGGTGGGCACCATCTAATCAGCTGCCAGCACACCTAGAATATAAAGTAGGCCGAAAAACATGAAGAGGCTAGACTGGCCTAGCCTCCCAGCCTGCATATTTCTCCCATGCTGGATGCTTCCTGCCCTTGAATATCAAACTCCAAGTTCTTCAGTTTTGGAACTCGGACTGGCTCTCCTTGCTCCTCAGCTTGCAGACAGCCTATTGTGGGACCTTGTGATCATGTGAGTTAATACTTAATAAACTTTTCATATATATCTGTCTATCCTGTTAGTTCTGTCCTGCTAGAGAACCCTGACTAATACAGACAGTGTCCTAATATTTTGGAATTTTCCAGCTATCTTTCAGTTATTGATTTCTACTTTACTTATATTTTGTCTGGAAGTAGGTATTGTGTGACTTATTCTATTTTAAATTTATTAAAGTGTGTTTTATTCCCCAGAATGCAGTCTATCTTGGTAAATGTTCCACCGGAGCTTTAAAAGACTGTTGTGTTCTTGCTGTTGTTGTGTGAACCAGTCTATAGATGTACATTATATCCCATTGATTAATGCCACTGTTGAGGTCAAATACATTCTTACTAATTTTCTGCCTGCTTTAGCTGTCCTTTACTGATAAAGACGTTTAAAAATCTCTACATATAATAGCAGATTCATCCATTTATCCGTACAAGTTCTATCAGTTTTTGCCTCACACATTATGATGTTCTGTTTTTAGGCACATTCACAATGAGGATTGTTATGTCTTTTTGGAGAAGTCACCTTTTATCCTATATAGTACCTCACTTTATCACTGATAGCATTGTTTGCTCTGAAGCCTGCTCTCTCTGAAATTAATATAGCCATTTTCATTTTCTTTTGATAGTGTTAGAATGCTATGTATTTTTTCCATTTACTTTTAATCAATGTGTATTTATATTTTGATTAGACTTTTGTAGACAATATATAGTTGGGTCTGATAATCTCTGTTTTTTAATTGACACATTTAGGCCACTGATATTCAAAATGATTATTGATATACTTGGATTAATATCTAACATGTCTACTATTATTTTCTATTTGTTACTCATGTTTTTTGTTACTATTATTGTCTTTCCCCTTTTTGCCTTTTGTGTTTTTAATTAAGTATTTTGTATAATTTCATTTTCTTTGTGTCTTAGCATATCAGTTAAAATGATTTTTTTAACTTTTTATATTGGTTGTTCTAGGGTTTGAAAGATAAACTTGCTACTAATTTAAATTCACTTTTATTTTTATTTTATTTTATTTGAGATGGAGTCTCTCTCTTGTCCCCCAGGCTGCAGTGCAGTGGCACAGTCTCGGCTCACTGCAACCTCCGTCTCCTGGGTTAAAGAGACTCTCCTGCCTCAGCCTCCTGAGTAGCTGGGATTTACAGGCTCCCGCCACCACAGCTGGCTAATTTTTGTACTTTTAGTAGAGACGGGGTTCCGCCATGTTGGCCAGGCTGGTTTTGAACTCCTGATCTTGTGATCCACCTGCCTCGGCCTCCCAAAGTGCTGGGATTACAGGCGTGAGCCACCACTCCTGGCCTTAAGTTCACTTTTAAATAACAGTGTACTACTTCACAGGGGGTGCATGTACTTTATAATGACAAAATATTTATAATTCCTCTTTCCTATCTCTTATATCACTATTGTCATTTATTTCAAACATAAGCTACAATCATCATATACACGGTTGTTATTATTTTGAACAAACCATTATCTGTTAGATCAATTAAGCATGACAAAAAGAAAAGATTTTATTTTACCTTCTCTCATTCCTTCTCTAATATTCTTCCATTCTTCATGTAGATCTGAGATTCTAAAATATGTTATATTTTTTCTCTCTGAAAAACTTCTTTTTACATTTCTGTTTAGGCAAGATTACTGGCCACAAGTCTGCTCAACTTTTATATGTCTAATAATGTCTTTAATTCTGCTTCACTTTTGCTCCTCTGTAAGAAAGGTGTTTTTTATTTTTTTATTTTTTATTATTATTATATTTTTTAAATTCTGGCTTCTTCCAATACTTTGTCTTTATCTTTGCTTTTCTGTAGATTTATCACAATATGCTTACATTTAGTATTTTTTGTTGTATTTATCCTGTTTGTTGTTTTCTGAACTCCCCAAATCTATGGTTTTGTGTCCAACATTAATTTTGGGAAAAGGCACCATCATTATTGCCTTAAATATTGCTTCGGTTCCTTTCTCTGTTTCTTGTCCTTATGGTATTTGTGTTACGCATATGTTATACCTTTTGTAGTTGTTCCACAGTTCTTGGATAGTCTATTCTGCTTTTTATGCAAAGTTTTTTCCTTGATTTTTATTTTTTAAGATTTCTATTGAGGCCGGGCACAGTGGCTCACACCTGTAATTCCAGCACTTTGGGAGGCCGAGGCCGGTGGATTATGAGGTCAGGACTTTGATACAAGCCTGGCTAGCATGGTGAAACCCCACCAGCCTGGCCAGAATGGCGAAACCCCGTCTCTACTAAAAATACCGAAAAAAAAAAAAATCAGCCAGGCATGGTGGCGTGCTTCTGTAATCCCAGCTACTCAGGAGACTAAGGCAGGAGAATTGCTTGAACCCAGGAGGCGGGGGTTCCAGTGAGCCAAGATCATGCCACTGCACTCCAGCCTGGGTGACAGAGCAAGACTGTCTCAAAAAAAAAAAAAAAATTTCCAATGAGATATCCCTGAGCTCAGAGATGCTTCCCTCAGCTCCATCCAATCTACTCTAAGCCTACCAAAGGCATTCTTTATTTTTTACAGTGCTTCTGCTCTCTAGAATTTTTTCTGCTTTCTTAAAATTTTCTTCTCTCTGCCTACATTACCCTCTTTTTTTGCATGTAGTCTACTTTTTGCATTAGAACCATTAGCATGTTAATCATAGTTGTTTTTGATTCACAGTCTAATTATTTAAACATCACTGCCATATCTGAGTCTGATTCTGTTGATTGCTGTGTCTTTTCAAACTGGGGTTTTTTTTTTTTCGTCTTTTAGTATGCTTCATAATTGTTTTTGAAAGCTAGACATAATGTACTGGTGAAAGAAACTCCAGTAAATAGGCATTTATTAATTTTGTGGTAAGGTATGAGTGGAGGGAAGCATTTTATGGTGTCATGATTAAGTCTTAGGCTTTTAGTGAGCCTGTGCACTTGGGCTGTGAACTTCACAAATGCCTCAAATTTTTATTCCTGCCTTAGGTGAAGGAGGATGAATGGAAGGTGCTGGATTTTGGTATTTCCCTTCCCCTCTGTGGAAGGACAGACTAGGCTGAAGTTCAATATTTTTATTCCTTTAGATTGATTGGACTCTGACAAAACTCCAAGTGGTTAGATTCTGCTAAAACAGTTTCTCTTGAGGGAAGACCTTGCTTAAAATAAAAGGAATGCTGTAGGGACTTCCAAAATGGTTCCCTTTCTGCGCCCCGTGACAGGGCCTGGGGTGATTTTTCCGCAAGATTCATTGTGAAAATCTAGATAGAGAAACAGGAGGTAAAACTCACAAAAGTACAGAGGCTCCCTGGAAGTTTTAACTCTCAAAGTTTTTCCTACTGAGCCTCCTGCAATTTATTAAGTACAGTTAAGGTTTTACTACCCCAACACTGGCTTCCATAGAGGTTTCTGCTCTGGTAAGTTATAATTTTTTTGTATCCCGCTGTCTGTCTTTCCAATTTGGGGTGCAACAGTTTTCTGTGTGATCTCACTTTTCTAATGGATCTAAGAAGAAATGCTGATTTTTCAGATCGTTTAGCTTTTTACTTGTTAGGAAAGAGTGGCAATTTCCAAGCTCCTTATATATCACGCAGGAAATCAGAAGTCTAGGTCATCAGAATTTTAAAAGATCTCAAACAATTTTAAGGGGCAGTCATTTTTGTAAACCACAACTGTAAAGGCTTAGCTTTTAAAACCTGCATTATGCATGAGTGTACTGCTAATAACTTGATCTTAACGTATGTTTGTCCAATGTGTGTCAAAAAGTTCTTTGTAAGCCTTCTTGAAGAAGAAATAAACAATGTGTAAATCTGCCAGGGCTGCCATAACAAGATACCACAAACTGGGTGGCTTAAACAACAGAAATTTATTTTTTTTCACATTTCTGGAGCCTAGAAGTCCAACGAAAAGGTGTCAGAAGGCTTGGTTTTTTACTCAGGCCTCTCTTTTTCACTTATGAACAGGCAACTTCACACTGTGTCCTTAGATGGCCTTTTATCTGTGCATGACATTCTTGATATCTCTTCCTCTTTTTATAAGGACACCAGTCCTATTGGATTAGGGCTGCATTCTTATGACCTCATTTAACATTAATTACCTCTTGAAAGGTCCTTTCTCTACCTATAGTCATATTGGGATTAGATCTTCAATTATTAATTTTGGTGGTGGACACAATTCCCTCTATAAAACCAAATGTTTATTGTACATATTTTTCTATTTGTTCAAATATTAAAGTTACATTCTGAATATATTATGTTTCTTTCGTCTTAAACAAGAATCTTATTATCCTTCTACAGCTTGTGGGAAAAGGTTCATTAACTAGTCCATCTTACCAGCTTTCTCTGTACTGTTATGAAGAGGAAAAAAACATTGACAGAAATCTCAATTTAAAATTCATGAATTTCCTCCTTTAAAAAAATCTTTCTGTTCAGCTAAGGAAACACTTCACACATGGAAAAATTTAAAAATCATCCAGTGTTTCCAAATGTACTCTATAGACTTAAGCAGAATAAGTAGAACACAGGTAGAACACAGGTAACTAGGTGATTTACATTCAAAAATGTTTACTACGAACGTGCAGTTTATGATCTCTGGCAAAATTATTCTACAACTTCAAGCTATTTTTTATTGTAATTTGATTTGTGGCTTTATGAATAGATAGCAAAATCATGAATTAAATAAAGCATATAAAACCAATGCAGGCCATATGAATTACTCATAAGTACAAGACTTTATCATGATTTTTAGTGGAACTTAAGCAAATAATTAGCCTGTGTGCAGAAGGCCACTCATGTAAAGTAAGAAAAATGCAACAACAGCAAGTTTAGACAAAATCAGGAAATGAAATCCATTTCTATCTACACTATATTAGACAAGTGAAATTATTAGCAAATTTAAACCCATAGCTTTCAATTTTTGGAATGAATCACAGTTCTGCCTTTAATTATTAAGTTAGTGTGATAGCCTATGCCTCAGTTATTCAGCTAATGTCTTCAACTCGAAACCCATTCGACTGTAATCAGTTTAGTAACGCTGAACCTGGAATTCTTCAAATCACATTTCTGTTTTGCCAGCTGGTATTTGTTAATGCTTCACCTACAAGGGCACTTGAAATAAACCGCAAGGCTAGAGTACAAAAAAAGAGAGTCTGTCTTCCTATTTTGTGTTCCTGTGAGCATCACCTTAGCATAGCTATTTCATTCATAGCAACTGTTGAATCCTGTTGCAGATTCTTCAACACTTGCAGAATCAGGTTTTTCATTCCCCTCACATCCACTTCAGAGACAAAAGCCCAAGGTAGGCAAAACTCTCTCATCAGAGGTCTGTTTCAGCTGCCTTGGGACCCTCCTCTAATTTTCTAAATTGTGATAATTCTACCTCTTCTCTTTGCTCCGCAATTTTAGAGTTGATATTTGCTTTCTGCTTTTACTACCTCTGAGACACTTTAGAGCTCTTTTTTACATATTCATTTACTTCATTAACAACTTTAAATGTTAATTCTTTATATAAAATTCTCTGTTCCAATAATCAGTGTTGTTTCTCTCTCCTGAATGGTCTTTGAATACTTTATCTTATTACCTACAAATTGAATTTTTATACATACTTGAGTTAGACTGTACAAATATATTTCACTTGGGATAAATTTTAGCAGCTTTATTGAGATGTAATTTGCATACCATGAAATTTACTCTTTTAAAGTGCACACTTTACTGGTTTTGAGTCAGTTTCCAAAGTGGTGCAACAACCACAAACTACTAGAACATGTTTATCTCAAAAATAAGAAATCACATTAACAGTCATTTTCTCTTGCTTTCCACCCCAGCCCTAGGCAACCACTTTCTGCCTCTATAAATTTGTTTATTCTGGTCAGTTCATATAAATGAAATCACAAATAAATTATCTTGTAACTGATTTCTTTCACTTAGTATAGTGGTTTTAAGTTTCATTCATGATGCATCATTTATCAGTAATGTTTTCATTTTTATTGTTAATGATATTTCATCATATAAATACATCACATTTTGTTTATTCATTTATCAGATGATGGAAATTTGGGTTGTTTCTACTTTTTGACTCTTATGAATAATGCTGCTGTGAACACTCATGGACAAGTTTTTGTATATGTGTACATTGTCTTTTATGAATAAATCTAGTAGTGAAACTGCTGCATTATAAAGTAGCTCTATGTTTATCATGTGTCATCAAGTTCAGAGGAAACCACATATAAGCTTCCCAGAGCCCTCATTTCATGGAGTCACACAGAGAAGAGTAAATTCTTCCAACATGCAATTGTGACAACACAAGTGAAATACTGCCTATCAGGGAAATTTATCTAAGCCTAAGAATCTAATGTTTTTTACAAAGAGTTACATAGGCAACATACCCAAATTTCAGATTCCCAGAAGTAAATCAGTTGTTCAGCATAAATCATATTGTATGTACAAAATATTTAGGCATAGTGGGCAATTCTTATCAGTTAGGGAATGGTGGGAACGCTCTGAAATAGAAGATTTCAGATGTCAGTAGGGGCCAGCCTTGCAAGTAGACCTTTCTAATGTTAGCAGTTTCAGGCTTGCCATGTTAACTCTTTTTTGCACAGTCCATCTCCTGGGCTCCTGTCCCTTCGACTTGGTCAAGGAAAACATCTTTACAACAAAATTATCAGAGTATCTCATGCAACAGAGTGAAACCAATCTCAGTACTGATTTCAGTTACCTCTTTAGGGTCCTGGATTTTGCTAGCAAAAATGAGTATCAGTAACCATAAAGGTCTATCTTAGAAATCCAGTTGGCTTTCTACTTAAGTTTTTGCATTAGCTTTTTTTTTTTTAACCTAGCATGAAGAATCAAGTCAGGCACAGCACAAATCTAGCCAGTAAGTTGAAGTTGACCCAAAAACCTTCCAGGTCTGAGGCAGCATCATGATAGTTAGGGTATGCACAAGAAATACAATCTCAGAGGTCACACATGGTATCCCTGAAAATAAAGACTTTACAATTGTTAAGGTAATCCAAACAAGATATATGTTAGTCATGTAGAATAGGTTAATAGGGCCAATGTGGCCTCCCACCATGGGGCTTCCTCCTCTACGGTTCCCAGCCCAGTCCATTTGATTTAATTCTGTCCTTGGTTTCAGAGAGAGTGCCTGAAAGCAGTCAGTTTTAACAATTTTCCTTGTTCATGACATCAGTTTATCCATTGCATGTGTGTAGACAACATCTGGAGGTGTTCTTCATAAAAATTACAGGAGCTAAGGCCACCTCCTTCTTTTTCATAGTTAGCAAGCTGTCAGTTGTAGACTCAGCTGTCAGTTTGAATTTAAAGCACTCTGAACATCTTGGAAAGGCAGCACAGACATCTTTCTTTAGGAGAAAGGGAAAGCTTTTAGGAGTAGTTTTTAAAAGAAAGATCATTAATGCTCATTCCCTCTTCCATGCCTCGTTAGGTGCCCAAATTTTGTTTTGTCCTTGTTACAAAATCAATGTCCCACTTGGCAATCATCACTTTTCATTTTTTTTAATTATCCCATACTGTCCCCTAGACATTTATTCTGGAGGGATCGTATGCATGAAGTACAAAATTATTTTGGTAGAAAAATATTTTAATACAACCAAACCAAAAAGACACACCATATTCAGGAATTGGCAAGGTCAAAATTCTGAATATTCATAAAATTTCACCTCTTGTCCTGTTCTTTTATCTAGTGAACAGCCTATAAGAGATCAATCTCTTTCTGGGGACGGCTGCATTTAACAATCAAATTGTTTTACTAAGATTTATGTACCCAGAGAGGTGAAAGTGGAGTCTACTGTTGCAACCTGTAACTAACTTGGAAAGCTGAACACAACTAATCAACAGCATCTAGTTGTTCCCAGGAGGTAGTTGAGATCCTAACCCATTAGGAATGGGTAAAGGAGTCACATTCCTTGTGATGTTCCTTCCCTCTACTTGCAGCTTTCAACAGTAATCATAAGCTAAGAATATACTGAGTCTTTGTGTCAGAAATAAAGATATAATCACCAAGAAGCTCAATTTCAAATAATTCTATCAAATAATAAGCCCTGTCTGTGGTTACCTGTAAGTGACCCAGATTATCCAGCTAGCATCTCTGATGCTTTTATAGTTTGTGGCCAAAGGGAAGTGTTTGCCAATATCTGCAACAATCCCAGAGTTGATGTCCTGTTCATTAAATTTATGGCTGCTTTTGTTTCACCACAGCTTTACTGAAGCTGAAATAAAGCATGTAGACAGTATCAGGTTTTAGCTTAGAGTTAGGTATTAAGGAATAAAGATCTGTGAATTTAAGATTCCAAAAACCCATAGGCTTTTTTTTTTTTTTTTGGCTGCAACAAAGCTGAAATGCTCCAGAAGGTCTAGATAGGCACGTTCCAAGTCCAAGTGGCAGGCAATATTTTTATAAGTTATTTTCATTTTGTCATTGTTAGAGTTGAAATTGACTCATTTAAAAATATTCTCATTAGGCTGGAAAACCATTAGCCATTAAAGGTCACGCATATGATTTTAGAAAAGTTCACTGGCCACTGAGAACTACTTCTTATAACTCCAAAAGTGTATCTTTATCTATAAATTAACTCTCCTTTTTGTTGTCTTCCTTTCCTCAGGGGCTCTGAAAAGGGAAAAATGAAAGCAAACATTATCACTGGTAGAGATTATTTTGTTTCCAATACTCAAATAAGTTAAATTTTAACCCACCCACCACGGGCAAAAAGCAAGATAGTGGTGCCCCATTAACATTTTTCTTTGCATTTTTCTCTGATTGGGACATCTCCTTAACATTTATTGAATGAAAAAAACATAATATTTTGCATGAATATTTATTATATATCTAGATGCAATGGCCACAAAATACAAAGCCATTACATTTTTTTTCTCACTTTCATTGAAAGTTCGTCTAAATCTCTATAAGTAAATTTAGCATTTACAAGATTAATATTATTGCTGCCAGAAGAAATTACTGCCAGACCTTGAGTGGGGTATGGGGGGCTGCAGTGCAACAGCTGGTAGAGTATTTCCTGTTTTCCCTTTCTTTGGTTTACAAAACTTTGTTCCGTCTCTGGCAACTGATTTAACCTTTTTCTCTCCTACTTGGAAAAGAGAGTGACACACATTTTTAACATTTTTGGCCCAGCAAAAGTTCTCTTTGGGAATGCTTAGGCCTTTTTTCCTCCAACATGGGAGATAGAACAAAAGATATCACACAAGCTGATCTTCCCTCCCACCCCACACATTCAAAAGCAGCCAGGGGATGCTATGAGCAAACTCTTCTGGGGTTGAATCTAACATTTTAGGATGTCATGTATAACTTTTATTTTTCATAATAAGCAGAATTCAGCTGCTGTCTTGTACTAAATGTACCTCCGTAGCCACCCAGGCAGGAAAGGTTCACCATCCCCTCTCAATTGCTTCTTTTTTCCCAAAGTTTTTGACATATTTCACAGAATCAGGGTCACTCTAACAAATCCCACACTGCCACCCAGGTTCAATGAATCACTAGTAGGACTTACAAGACTTAACCTACAGTCATACTGACAGATATGATTTATTATGGTGAAGGGATGAAAGGCACAATTACTGAAGGATAAAGGCACAGGGGGTGAAGTCCGTGGAAAATCAGGCACAATCTTCTAAGAGCCCTTCACCCCCACCCCTTGACCCACCTCATGCAGTTACATGAGACAGGCTTAATTCCTTTAGCATCTAATTGTGACAGCACATATAAAATGCTTTCTACCAGGCAAACTTGCCTGATTCTAGGACACAAGGGCTTATATTGGGGGTCAGTAACGTATACACACACTGCCTAGAACAAACCACAATTGCACCTTCCAGAGTGCCATATGTTCATCACAAAGCATAGTATTTGCACAAACAGGTTAGCCACAGTGAACCACTATTATCAGTTAGATAAAGGTGAGACACCTCCCAAAATCTGAGTTCCAAGACAATTGGAAATTTGCATTTCTCTAATGACTGATATTGAACATCTTTCATGGCTTTTTAGTTGTTTGCACATCTTCTTTAAAGAAAAGTGTGAGAAAAAATCCTTTGCTCATTTTAATACCGTCATTTGTATTGTAATTGTTTAATTTTAGGAGTACTTTTAGGGCAGGTTAGGTGGCTCACACCTGTAGTCCCTGCACTTTGGGAGGCTGAAGCAGGTGGATCACCTGAGGTCAGGAGTTCGAGAGCAGCCTGGCCAACATGATGAAACCCTGTCTCTACTAAAGATACAAAAAATTATCTGGATGTGGTGGCAGGCACCTGTAATCCCAGCTACTTGAGAGGCTGAGGCAGGAGAATCGCTTGAACCCAGGAGGTGCAGGTTGCAGTGAGCCGAGATCACGCCACTGCACTCCAGCCTGGGTGACATAGGCGAAACTCCAACTGAAAAAAAAACAAAACAGTACTTTTATATTTCGTATACAAGATTTTTATTAAATATATAAATTACAAATATTTTTCACATTTAGTGAATAGTCTTTTCATTTTCATTATAGTATCCTTTGAGGAAGAAATGTTTTATATTTTTATTAAAAATATTCTGTTTCTTTATTGTTGCTTTTGCTTTTAGTTCCATAGTAAAGAAACCGTTGCCTATTCCAAGGTGACATTTACTCTTATATTTTCTTCTACATATTTTATAGTTCTAGCTCTTACAGTTAGATACCTGACCCATTATGAATATTTTGTGTATGGTGTGAAGTAGTGGTTAAACTTCGTCATTTTACATGTAGATATTCAGTTATCCCATGACTATTAGTTGAAAAGAGTGTACTTTTCCCGTTTGATTGTCTTAGAATGCTTGTCAAAATCAGTTGTCATTATTATTTCTTGACTGTCAACTTTAATTGATCTATGTCTATCCAGATCCCAGTGTCATACTGTCTTACTTACTGTATATTGTAATAAATTTTGAATTCAGAAGTCTGTCTCCTTAATTTCTCATTTGCAACTTTTTTTTGACAATTCTGGGTCTCATGCATTTCCATGTGGCTTTTAGGAACAGACTGCCAATTTCTGCAAATATGGCTGCTGGGACTTTGATAGGAATTTGGTGAATCTGCAGATCAATTTGGAAGTGTTGTCATTTTAGCACTATTAAGTCTTCCACTCCTGGTACATGGCAGTATTCAAGTCCATTTTTTTGTTTTTTTTTTTAAATGTATCCCTAAGAAAGTTATTACTTATTATATATTGCAAATGAAAATGTTTTGTTAATTCCATTACCAAATTGTTCATTGCCAGTGTAAAAAATACAATTTTATATAGTTGTCATATTATGCAAACTTGCTGATCTGTTTTACCAGCTCTAACAGTTACTTGTTGGAATCAGAATTTTCTTTATGCACATGAAAGGTGTATTTTAGGCAATTTGTCCACCACCTCCTGCCATCACTCCCCAGGGCTATAAGTTCCTGATAGATGTCAAAACATCATAAGATACAGAAAATTAAAAAGAAAATATAATTGGCCCTCTGATATTTTGACATTATGTTGAGAAAACTGTTGTGATGATAGTGACAGTTCATAGAAAGCAGGACATAAGTTGCCCTAAACAGTATAGAAAACCCCAGAGAGTAAAAAGAAGGAACAAAAATAGAAGTTCAAGGGTTCTTAAAAGCTAGTCAATAACTAAGTTTTCTACTTATATGGGATAGGTCAAGAAAGTAGATATTAAATTTTGAGAGTTTCTAAAAATATCTTGGTATAATTTTAAAGTGTACTAAAAACATGCCCAGATCAAGGTGGCAAATCAGGCTGCTATGTTGTTTGAGGATATAAAATGATTAGTTAGCAAATTATATGTTAGGATTATTATTATTTTTATAATTACTAGGAAAAAGTGGTTGTCATGGTCATATGTCAGATATGCAGAGTGAGAGACTGTGGAAGAAACCTGGAGGAGCAAATAGGAGCAGGCACTGAAGAGTGAGTGGTTCCGGGCTTAGCTGATATGAGGAAAAGGGCTCTTGTGGGAAGAATAAACACTATTAATTAATTAATTTATTTATTTATTATAATCTTTTGGGTACAGAGAAAGTGTATATACTTATGGGGTACTTAAAATATTTTGATATAGGCATAAAATTTATTACAATCACATCAGGGTAAATGGAGTATCCATCATCTAACACATTTATTCTTTTTTGTGTTATAAACAATCAAATTATATACATGTAGTTATTTTAAAATATACAATAAATTAATGTGGATGGTAGCTATCCTGCTGTACTATCAAATACTAGGTTTTATTCTTTCTAATTATTTTGTACCCATTTTCTATCCCCAATCCCCACCCACTACCCTTCCCAGCTTTTAGTAGAAAAAAGGATCAAACCACTAATTAACTTATCCACACCTCCAATAAGCTGACATTGACCCAAGGGGAAGAGGCCAGTCTGTCTCTCACAGGCTCCACTGCCCCAGCCCCCTCCACCCCCCGCCAACTGCTCATCACTAGGCAGAGAACCCTTGGATTGGGCTCACAGCAAGGACCCTCCATCCTGGGCTGATCACACTGAATGATTGCTGACCTGCATCTCTCTGGAGTGGAGCTCCCCGGAAACAAGCAAACAACACTCAGCCACAACCACTACTAAGATCCCTTCCTCTGCTGCCTCCAAGTTAGGGAAGGAACTGAACCACTGTGATCACCCCAGAGCTGCAGTGGGCAGCCCAGAAATGCCAAGTCATGATCCACAGCCAGCCATCAAGGCAGGGAGGAACCCACGCTTTCAGAGAATTGAGAGGAAACATGGTTGCAACTGTGAGAAAACAAGGGAGGCCCACAACCATGCAAGAGTCTAGCAACTGACCAATATACCTAAATGCCACCTTCTCGATCACATCCCAAAGTCTCAACACCAAAAGTACCTCACTAATAAACTCCACTCTGAAACCAGAGACCAGAAGTCAGCTTATAATAAAGACCCTTCACAAAGCCTCATCTCAGTGAAAGCATCCAGAAAAATAGCTGGTTGACTTCACTCAATCTACAGGACAGTTAAAGAAATACCGACATGCAGAGATGAGAAACAACCAATGCAATGACTCCAGGTACTTGAATGGCCATAGTGTCATATGTCTTCCAAACAACCACACTGGTTATCTATCAAGAGTTCTTAACTAAGCTCAACTTGTTTGAATGGCAAAAATAGAATTCAGAATATGGTCAGGAGCAAAGATCATCGAGATTCATGAGATGGCAAAACACAATCCAAATAAGATAAGAATCATGATAAATATAGATTCATCAATACAGAAGCTGAAGGATAAAATAGCTGGTATAAAAATCAAACTAATGCATGTGACACAGCTGAATAACACAATACAAGAATGTCCCAATGCAATCACAAGTATTAACAGCAGAATAAACCAAGCTGAGGAAAGAAACTCAGAAATTGAAAACTGATTCTCTGAAATAAAACACTCAGAAAAAAGTTTAGAAAGAATAAAAAGGAATAAACAAAACCTCCAAGAAGTATAAGATTATGTAAAGAGGCCAAATCTTTGAATCACTGGCATCCCTGAAAGGGAGAGGGTGAAAGCAAACAACTTGGAAAGCATACTTCAGGATATTGTCCACAAAAATTTCCTCAACCTTCCTAGAGGGACCAGTAGTCAAATTCAGGAAATTCAGAGAATTGCTTCAAAATTCTACATAAGAAGATCATCCTCAAGACACATAATCATCAGATATTGCAAGGTCAAAATGAAAAAAGGAGAGAGAAAGGACAGGCAGCCTACAAAGGGAACTTCATCAGGCTAACAGTGGACCCCTCAGCTGAAACCTTACAAGCCAGAAGAGAGTGGGGGCCCATATTCAACATTCTTAAGAAAAAAAAATTCAACCCAGAATTTCATATCCAGCCAAACTAAGCTTTTTGAGTGAAAGAGAAATAAAGATTATTTTCAGATAAGCAAATGCTGAGGGAATTCATGACCACCAAACCTGCTTCACAAAAGATCTTGAAAGGAGCACTAAATGCAGAAAGAAAAAACTGCTACCAGCTAATATAAAAATACACAGACCAGTGTCACTATAAAGCAACCACACAAACAAGCCAACATAATAACCAGCTAACAGCACAATGACAGGATCAAATCCACATATGTCAGTACTAGCATTGAATGTAAATGGGCTAAATGCCCCACTTAAAAGATGCAGAATGGGGCCAGGCATGGTGGCTCACACCTGTAATCCCAGCACTTTGGGAGGCTGAGGCGGGTGGATCACCTGAGGTCAGGAGTTTGAGACCATCCTGGCCAACATGAAACCCCATCTCTACTAAAAATACAAAATTTAGCCAGGTGTGGTGGTGTATGCCTGTATTCCCAGCTACTCAGGAGGCTGAGGCAGGAGAATCACTGTCCTGAGGCAAAAGAACCCGGGAGGTAGAGGTTGCAGTGAGCCGAGAGTGCACCATTGCACTTTAGCCTGGGCAACAAGAGCAAAATTCCATCTCCAAAAAAAAAAAAAAGAAAGAATAAAAAAGAAATAGAAATAGAAAAAGATGCAGAGTGACAACTGGATAAAAAGGCAATAGCCAGTGATGTGCTGTGTTCAAGAGACCCATCTCACAAGTAATGACAACCATGGGCTCAAAATAAAGGCATGCAGGAAAATCTACCAAGCACATAAAAAACAGAAAAAAATGTAAGGATTGCAATTTTAATTTCAAAAAAAAAAAAAAAAAACAAACAAACAGATTTCAAACTATCAGAGATTACACACATACACCGACAAAAAAGAAAAAAAAAAGCATTACATAGTGGTAAAAGGTTCAATTCAACAGGAAGACCTGGCTAGACTAAATGTATATGCACCCAACACAGGAGCACCAAGATTCATAAAGCAAGTTTTTAGAGATCTACAAAGAAACATGAACTCCTGCATAATAATAGCAGGAGACTTCAACACTCCACTAACAGTATTAGATAGATCAACAAGGCAGGGAACTAACAAAGATATTCAGGATCTAAACTCAACATTAGACCAACTGGATCTGATAGACCTTTACAGAACTTTCTACCCCAAAACAACAGAATATACATTCTTCTCATCGCCCCATGGTACATACACAAAAATTGACCACATAATTGGACATAAAACAATCTAAAATAATAGAAATCATGCCAAACACACTCTCAGACCACAGCACAATAAAGATAAAAGTCAAAACAATGAAAATTGCTCAAAACCATGCAATTACATGGAAATTAAACAACATGCTCTTTAATGACTTTGGGTAAATAATGAAATTAAGGCAGAAATTAAAAAGTTTTTTGAAAGTAATGAGAACAAACTTACAACATACCAGAATCACTGAAACACAGCTAAGGCAGTGTTAAGAGGAAAATTCATAGCACTAAATGCCCCCATCGAAAAGTTAGAATGATCTCAAATTAAGAACATAACTTTACAACTAAATGAATTAGAAAAGCAAGAACAACTCCACCCCAAAGCTAGCAGAAGATGAAAAATAACCATAATCAGAGCTACATTGAAGAAATCAAGACACAAAAAAGCATTCAATAGATCAACAAATCCAGCAGTTGGTTATTGAAAAACTTATTAAAATAGGCCACTAGCTAGATTAATAAATAAGAAAAAATACTAGATTCCAATAAACACAATTAGAAATGATGAAGAGAATGTTACTACTCACCCAACAGGAATAAAAACAACCATAAGAACCTATGATGAACACCTCTATGCACAGAAACTAGAAAATCTAGAAAAGATAGATGAATTCCTAGACACATACATCCTCCCAAGACTGAGCAAGGAAGAAATTGATTTCCTGAACAGGCCAATTATGAGCTCCAACATCGAATCAGTAATAAATAGCCTACCAACCAAAAAAAGCCTGGGACCTGGTGGTTCACAGCCGAATTCTACCAGATGTACAAAAAAGGGCTGGTACCATTCCTACAGAAATGACTCCAAAAAATTGAGAGGGGGTGACATCTCCACAACTTATTCTATGAGGCGAGCACATCTTGATACCAAAACATGGCAGACACACACACACACACACACACACACACACACAAACATTAGGCCAATATCTTCAAAGAACACCAACACAAAAATCCTCAACAAAATATTATCAAACAAAATCCAGCAGCACATCAAAAATCTAATCCACTAGAACCAAGTAGGGATCATTCCTGAGATGCAATATTGGTTCAACATATGCAAATCAATAAATGTGATTTATCACATAAACAGAACTAAAGAAAAAAACACATGATTATGTCAATAGACAAAGAAAGGGATTTCAACAAAATTCAGTAACACTTCATATAAAAACTCTCAATAAACTAGGTACCGAAGGAACGTATGTCAAAGTAGTAAGAGTCATCCATGACAAACCCACAGCCAACTTTATACTAAATGAGCAAAAGCTGAAAACTTTCCCGTTGAAAACTGGCACATGACAAGAATGCCCTCTCTCGCCACTCCTATTCAACATAATATTGGAAGTCCTGGCCAAAGCAATCAGTCAAGAGAAAGAAATAAAGGGCATCCAAATAGGAAGAAAGGAAGTCAAACAATCTCTGTTTACAGACAACATGATTCTATATCTAGAAAACTATATAGTCTTGGCCCAAAATATCCTCCCACTGACAATTTCAGTGAAGTTTCAGGATACATAATAAATTCACAAAAATAAATTTACAAACATTACTAGCGTTCTTATACACCAACAACAGACAAACTGAGAGCCAAATCAGAAAGGCAATCCCATTCACAATTGCCACAAAAAGAATAATTTACCTAGAAATACAGCTAACCAGGGAGGTGAAGCACCTCTACGATGAGAATTACAAAACACTGCTAAAAGTAATCAGAGAACATGTAAACAAATTTTTAAGAATCCCACGCTCATGTATAGGAAGAATCAATATCATTATAATGGCTCTACTTCCCAAAGCAATTTGTAGATTCAATGCTATTCTTATCAAACTAGCAAGGACATTCTTCACAGAGCCAAATAAAACTATTTTAAAATATATATAAGACCAAATAAAACTATTTTAAAATTTATATAAGACCAAATAAAACTATTTTAAAATTTATATAAGACCAAAAAAGAGCCCAAGTACCCAAGGCATTCCTAAGCAAAAAGAACAAACCTGGAGGCATCACACTACATGACTTCATGCTACACTACAAGGCTACAGTAACCAAATCAGCATGGTACTGGAAAAAAAAAGGTGGGGGGGTGGGTGTATAGATCAATGGAACAGAATAGAAAGCCCAAAAATAAGGCCGCACATCTTTGACCATCTAGTCTTCAAAAAAGCTGAGGAAAACAAGTAATGGGGATAAAACTCCATATTCAATAAATGGTGCTGGGACAACTGGATAGCCATAAGCAAAAGATTGAAGCTGGACCCTTTCCTCACACCATACACAAAAATCAATTCAAGATGGATTCAAGACTTAAACGTAAAACCCAAAACCATAAAACCCTGGAAGACTACCTAGGTAATATGATCCTGAACGTAGAAATCAGCAAATATTTCATGACAAAAGATACCAAAAGCAATCACAACCAAAGCAAATATGACAAATGGGATCTAATTAAACTAAAGAGCTTCTGCACAGTAAAGGAAACTATCAACAGAGTAAACAGACAACCTACATAACAGAAAAAAATATTTGCAAACTATGCGTCTGGCAAAGGTCTAATATCCAGCGTCTCTAGGGAGCTTAAGCAAATTTACAAGAGAAAAACAAGCCCATTAAAAAGTGGGCAAAGGACATGAACAGACACTTTTCAAAAGAAGACATCCGTGCAACCAACAAGTATATATATTTTTAAAAAAAGCTCAATATGACTGATCATTAGAGAAATGCAAATCCAAACCTCAATGAAATACCATCTTACAGCGGTCTTAATTGCTATAAATATATAGTAGAAAAATAACAGATGCTGGTGAGTTTGCAGTGAAAAGGGAACACTTATACACCTTTGGTAAGAATGTAAATTAGTTCATCCATTATGGGTTGCAGTATGGCAATTCCTCAAAGAGCTAAAAGCAGAACTACCATTCAATCCAGCAATCCCATTACTGGGTATATACCCAGAGGAATATAAATCATTCTACCATAAAGACACATGCACAGAAATGTTTATTGCAGCACTATTCACAAGAGCGAAGACATGAAATTTACATAAATGCCCATCATTGACAGATTGTATGTAAAAATGTGGTACATATACACCATGGAATATTATGCAGCCATATAAAAGAACAAGATTATGTTTTTTTGCAGGAAAATGGATGGAGCTGGAGGCTATTATTCTTAGCAAACTAATGCAGGAACAGAAAACTAAATACTGTACGTAGTCACTTATAAGTGGGAGCTAAATGATAAGAACTTATGAACATAAAAAAGAAAACAACAGACACTGGGGTCTACTTGAGAGGAGAGGGTGGGAGAAGGGAGAAGATCAATAAAGATAATGATTGGGTACTGAGCTAAATACCTAGGTGATGAAATAATATGTACAAAAAACATCCATGACATGTGTTTACCTATGTAACAAACCTTCATATATACCCATAAACCTAAAATAAAAGTAAAAACAAATCTGGATTTTAATTACTTTGGATATGTACCCTAAAATGAGATTGCTGGATAATGTGGTAGTTTCATTTTTGAGAAACTTCAATACTGTTATCCATAATGACCACACCAATTTCCAATCCCAGCAACATTTTCTCAGGGTTGCCTTTGCTCCAAATTCTTGGCAACACTTGATAACATTTTTTTATTACTAATAACCATCCTAACAGATGTGAGGTGATATCTCATTTTGCATTTTGATTTGCATTTCCCTGATAGTTAGTGATGTTGAGCGCCTTTTCATATAACTGTTGGCCATGACTATCTCTTCTGTGGAGGAATACCTGTTCTCCTCCACTGCTCATTTTTTACTTGAGTTATTTGATGTTTGTTTGTTTGGTTTTTGCCATTGAGTGGTATGTATCCTTATATACTTTGGATATTAACCCTTCATCTGATATATGGTTTGCTAATATTTTCTTCTATTCCACAGGCTGCCTTTTCATTGTTGATTGTTTCCTTTGTAGTGCAAAATATTTTTAGTCTGATGTAATCCCACTTTTTATTATTTATTTTTTGCCTGTGCATTTGGCATCCTATTCATAATATTATTGCTAAGACAAACATCAATGAGTATTTTTTCTATGTATTTTTATGAGTTTTAATAATTTCTACCTTTAGGTTTAAGTCTTTAATATACTCTAGTTAAATTTTGTGTAGGGTATGAGATACATGTCTAATTTTATTCTGTTGTATATAGATATCCAGTTTTTCCAACACCATTTTTGGAGAGACTATTCTTTCCTCATTGTGTATTCTTTGTGTCTTTATTGCAGATTAATTGATAAAATGTGCATGGGTTTATTTCTTGGCTGTGTATTCTGTCCTATTGGTTTATGTTTCTGTTTTATGTCAGTACCATACAGTTTGTATTACTATAGGATTGTAATATTATTTGAATGCAGGATGTTGGATGTCTCCAACTTTGTTCTTTCTGGAGAGAATTACCATGACCAATTGAGGTATTTGGTAGTTTCATATTAATTTTTGTAATTTTTTCTGTTTCTGTGTAAATTGCCATTGGGATTATGATGGGAACATCATTGAATATGTAACCCACTTTGGGTAGTACTATAATCTGAATTTTGATGTTTTCCTAGAATTTATACATTGGAAACTAATGCTCAATGTGATAGTATTGAGAGGTAGGGCCTTTAGGAGGTGATTAGGTCATGAGGATGAAAGCCTCATTAATGTAGTTAGTGAAGTTACAGAAAAGCCTTGAAGAGCCCAACTTGCCCCTTCCCCTATGTGATGACATAAGAAGGAACTATCTTTTCAGTAGACAGCAATATCTCACCAGACACCAAATCTGCTTGTGTCTTGATCTTGGCCTTCTTAGGCTCTATAATTGTGAGCAGTATATTTGTGTCATTCATAAATCAACCAGTCTAAGGTATTTTGTTACAGCAGGCAAGCTGACTAAGACAGAAGTTGGTATTAAGGAGTAGGGTGCTAACTTAACAAATACCTAAAAATATAAAAGTAGAATTGGATTGGATAATGGAAAAAAATTTGGAAAAGTTTGGAAGTAATTGCTAGAAAAATCTATAATACCATAAATGAAACATTGAAGACAAATTTTGTGAGAGCTTAGAAGAAGCTGTAGAGAACTTCTAAATATCGTAAGAGATTACCTAACTTACCATGATCAGAATTTTGGTAGAGATATGTATGCTAAAGGCCATTCTAATGACAGCTCAGATTAAAATAAGAAATACTTTATTGGGAATTGGAAGAAAAGTGATACTTGTTGGCAAAAACTTGGCTAAATTGGGTTTTGTACTAATAATTTGTGGAATAAGAAATTTGCAAGTGATGAAACAGAATATCTGGTAAAATAAATATATAAGCAAAGCATTGAAAGCATGACATGGCTTTTCTTGACTGTTTATGGTAAAATGCAAAAAGATAGGTATGAACTATATAATATGAATGAAAGAATGTAAAATTCAAAGAGTAATAAGAGAGAAATTAATGATGAAATTTATAATAAAAGGGAACAGAAATTAATGATTTTGAAAATTGTCATTCTGTCCATGTTGTAAAAAATGAAAAGAGTGTTTTGCAGAAAAAAATACCAAGGATGTGGCTAAGCAAACATTGATGAGGAGATTAGTGTGGATAGAAAGAAGCCAGTGGCTATTTATCAAGAAAATAAAGGAATGATCAGAAAGATATTTTGGAGATCATCGGGTTGTACCACTTCCATCACAGGACTAAGGTGCCAAGGCCTGGGGGACAGAACTGTGTCAAAATAGGTTCCTCAGATGCTCATGGGACCTTGACAATTGGGGCCAAGTGCTGCTTCAATTTTCTACTCCCTACATTCTGGTACATCTCTCTTCAGACATCTCAGATGTGGCTCAAGTGGTTACATGTGCAGTCTGGTCCATAGAAGCTACCAATCCAGAGAGAACACAGGTGGTAAAACCTGGCGGCATCTGAGTGGTGGCAATTCTGCCGGTATACAGAGTGCAACAGCTATGGGGGCATAGCTAACTGTAAATAAATTTCAGATAATTCCCTGGAGATCCTAAGGTTCTAGGAAGAGAATAGTCGCAGGGGTGAAACCACCAAAGAGAACCCAGACTAGGACAATGCCTAGTAAAGCCAGGGGACTAGGGTAGCCTGCAAGATCCCAGGACCATCCTTGTTACAAAGATTCAAAGAACATAACTGAATCATGTTTGTGCCCTACTGTTTTGTGGAAGAAGGAAACTTCTGAGTGATGAAATCAGATATTTGGCAGAAGAATATCTAAGCAAGTGTTGAACATGCAACCTGACATCTGTTGACTGCAGATAGCAAAATACAAGAAGACAGAAACAAATTAAAAACAGAATTTATAATTGAAAAGATGTCAACACTTAAACATTTGGAAAATGTCTAGTCTGCTCAAGTTGTACAGAATAAAGAAAAAAGCATGTCCGTGACAGAACACCAAAAGTTTGGCCAAGAGATTATTTTACAAGAAGATTAATATGGATGGATGGAAGACTGGTGCCGTTCATTAAGAGAACAGAAAAATGAAACTGATGTCATTTCCAAGATCATTGGAATTTCCACTTCCATCACAAGTAAATAGTATAAAGAAATGAGGGACATAACTATTACCAAAAGAGTAACCTTCAATGTTCTCAGAACCGGAGCACTCACTGCCTGGCACTGCCTCAAGTTTTTGCTGCTCATATTCTGGAGCATACCGCCTCAGCAATTCAAGGTGTGATTCCACTGTGTCTAGGTACAATGTGGGCCACTTTGGCTGCCCTTCCAGAGGGTACAGGTGGCAAATCTTAAAGGCATTTGTGGAGTGTCATCTCCACTATACTAAAGAGTATACAAGCTATGGGTGTATGGCTGCTTTCATCTAGAATTTGAAAGATGGAACAATCTGGAACCTTGGTCATGCAACCTAGGGAGAGGGCCACCTTGAGAGTAGGGCAACCATAGAGAGCCCCACCAAGTCAATCCCCAGTAAAGCCATGAGAATTGGGCCACAGCAAAAAGCAATGTCTACTGAATCCATAGTGGTGGCCAACAGCCTTCCCAGTTTGTCTGGAATTTGGAATGTGTAGTAAAAGATTTTTATCGAGCTGTAAAATTTAATGTTGTTTACCTTATTGAGCTTTGAATTTACTTGAGACATTATTCCTTTCCTCTTTTCTATTTTTCCTTTTTGGAAAGAGAATATTTAACCTATGACTATCCAATCACTGTATTTTGGAAGCACATACATGTTTTATTTTACAGGCTCACAGCTGGAGAAAAATTTTCCTCAGAATAAATGATACTTTGAGTCTCACCCATATTTTATGTAGATGATATTCAGATGAGACTTTGGATTTAGATTTTAAAGATGATGATTGAACTAGTTTAGACATCTGGGGTAATTGTGATAAAATTAGTGTGTTTTGCATGTTAGAAAGAGATGATTTGTGAGGGACAAGGCTGCAATGCTGTGGTCTGAATGTTGATGTTCTCCCCTGAAATTTATATGTTGGAACCTAATATTCAAAAAGATAGTATTAAGACATGTAGCCTTTAGAAAGTGATTAGATCATAAGGGCAAAACCCTCATGAATGGGATTAGTAACCTTATAACAGAGGTTTACGGGATGCTTTGCTTGCCCTTTCTGTCATGTGAGGACACAAGAAAGCACCATCTTTGAAGCAGAGAGCAGGCTGTCACCAAACGATGAATCTGTTGCCATCATGATCTTGGACTTCCCATGCTCCAGAATTGTAAGCAATAAATTTCTTTTTTGTTTTTATAAATTGCCTAGTCTAAAGTAGTTTGTTAAGCATCAGGAATGGTCTAAAATGAGAGAGAAGAGGGGTAGGGCTTTGTCTTGCATCTTGGATACCCAATTCAGCCACAGCAAGAAATAGCATCAGTCAGAGTCATGACGCCCTCTATCCAAGCACTAGCTTCCGGACAACATTTCTCGACACACCCTGGGACAGAAGGGAACCTTCTGCCTTAAAGGGAAAAACTTAGTTTTGGCAGAATTTATCACTTATTAATTGAAGACTCCTTGGGCCCTGAATAACCAGCAGTGATACCCAGGTAAGGTGGACTTGTGTGAGACCTGTGTGGGACTTGTGTGAGACTTGCTAGCTTAAGGTGTGACTTAACAAATTCCCAGCTGTAGTGGTTACAGGGAAAAACTCCTTCTTGAAAAAAGAGAGAAAAAAGTAAAAAAAGACTTTGTCTTTCACCTTAGGTACCAGTATAACCACAGAAGTGTAGAGTACCAAGTGGGCGTTTGGGATCCCTGATTTCAGAAATTGCCTCTCGGATGGCCTTTCTTTACCTCCCCTGGGACAGAAGGGAGCCCACTGCCATGAAGAGTGAGTTTCAGGCCAGGCAACTTTCACCACAAGCTTACTAAAGAGGCCTTAGGACTTAAGGTAACATTGCTGGTAGTCTGGCAGTACTCATAATGGGCATGAGGGGCCAGTAACCATTGAGTGAGGCTCCTCTACCCTTGGAAAGGGGAGACAAGAGTGGGAAAAACTGCATCTCGGAGTTTAAGTGCCAGTGCAGCCACAGTACAATAAAACACCAGGTAGAGTTTTAAGGGTTTTTACTACAGTTCTTGGCTGCCAAACAAAACCTCAGTACCTGCTTGGGTCCTGTGGAAAATTGCTGCCCTAAAAGGGGACAAACAAGCCTGGATGATTTTACTACCTGCTAATTGTAGAACCACACAGCTTCAAGCAAATATAGGTGGTAGCCAGAGAGTGGTTACAGCAGGCCTTAGGAGAGACCCAGTACAGTGCTGTCTTCAGGTCTGAACAAGTGTAGTCCTAAGGATGGTGGACACAGTGGTTCTGGTGTAACTTTACCTGCAACTTTCAGTGGCTTGAAACAGAGAGGGAGACTCTTTTTGTTTGGGAGAAAGTAAGGGAAGAGTATAAGAGTTTCTGCCTGCTAATCCAGAAAATTCTTTAAAAACTTGCCCAAAACCACCAAGGTGGTACCTCTATGAATCTGCAAGAACCACAGCATTATGGGGTTGGGGTCTCCCCTAAATCAGATACAGCTTAGATCACAACACTCAAGTATTTTCAAATATCTGGAATGCCTTCCCAAGAAGAACTGGTACAAACAAGCCCAGAGTGTAAAGACTACAATGAATACCAAATTCTTCAGTGCCTGGACACAGATGAACGTCTAAAAGTATCAAGATAATCTGTAAAAATATGATCTTACCATATAAAGTAAATAAGGCATGATGAGCTAATTCTGGACAGACAGAAATATGTGGCCTTTCAGACAGATAATTCAAAATAGCTGTTTTGGGGAAACTCAAAAAATCAAGATAACACAAAAAAAGAATTCAGAATTCTATCAGATAAATTTAACAAAGAGATTGAAATAATTAAACAGAATCCAACAGAAATTCCAGGGGTTAAAAATGGAATTGATGTTCTGAAGAATGAATCAGTCTTTTACTAGCAGAATTGATCAAGCAGAAGAAAAAATAGTAAGCTTGAAGACAGTCTATTTGAAAATAAACAGAGGAGACAAAAGAAAAAAAAAGAATAAAAATAAAGAAGTAGGCTAGGCGCGGTAGCTCATGCCTGTAATCCCAGCACTTTGGGAGGCTGTGGCAGGTGGATCACCTGAGGTCAGGAGTTGGAGACCAGCCTGGCCAACATGGTGAAACCCTGTCTCTACTAAAAATACAAAAATTAGCTCGGCATGGTGGCAGGTGCCTGTAATCCCAGCTACTCAGGAGACTGAGGCAGTAGAATCGCTTGAACCTGGGAGTCGGAGGTTACAGTGGGCTGAGATCACATCACTGCACTCCAGCCTGGGCAACAAGAGCGAGACTCCATCTCAAAAAAAAAAAAAAAAAAGAAGCATTCCTACAGGATCTAGAAAATAGCCTCCAAAGGGCAGTCTAAAAGTCATTGGCCTTAAAGAGAAGAGAGAGTAACAGAAAGTGGTAGAACATTTATTCAAAGGGATAATAACAGAAAAATTCCCAAACCTAGTGAAAGATATCAACATCCAAGTAGAAGAACATGATACAGCTTCAAGCAGATTTAACCTGAAGGAGACTATCTCAAGGCATTTAATAATCCCAAAGGTCAAGGATAAAGAAAGGATCCTAAAAGCAGCAAGGAAAAAAAAAGTAACATACAATAAAGCTCCAACACATCTGGCAGCAGACTTTTCAGCAAAAACCTTGCAGGCCAGGAAAGTGAGGCATGATATATTTAAAGTGCCGAAAACAACTTTTACCCTAGAAGAGTCCAGCAAAAACATCCTTCAAACATGAAGGAGAAATAAAGCATTTCCCAGAAAAACAAAAGCTGATAAACTTTATCAACATTACCCCTGTCCTAGGATAAATACTAAAGGGAGTACTTCTTTCAATCAGAAAGAAAAGGACATCAATGACCAATAAAAAATAATCTGAGAATATCCACAGCTGGACTTGGGCAAGATGGCTGACTAGATGCTACCAGGTGGAACAGCTGCCACCGAGGGACCAGGATGACTGGTTTACTCTTAACAGATCTTCAGAGTGAAGAAACTGAGGGTGGATGGAGGAAAGACACAGAAGCTGGGCTGAAGGGAGAGGAAGGTTGGAACAAGTACATTGAACAGTAAGGAGCAACCCACTCTCACCATGGGCCTCTGAGATTCCAGTAGGTGACCTCTTGACCACCACAAGCACTTGAATTGACAAGGGCAGCTGCTTAGAGAAGTGGTAGGAGCAGCAAACCAGCTGACAGGTTTGGTGAGGGAGTATCTGTAGTGGAGCAGAGCCAGGCATGCCCAAACCCCTAGGTTCCACTTAATCCCAGAGGAGACTTTAGCCCTAGGGGAACTAAAAAACTTGAAGTCTGCAGGGTGGTTTTGCCCATCAGTTGGGGCTAGTCTGAACCGAGGACCCCTTAATCTGCTGGCCTGTCCTGGGACCCCAGCCTGGCTGTTCCTGCTTACTGTGCAGTCTTGGTTGCCCTGGAGCCCATATCATAACTCCTGAATTGGTAGACTGTGTCTGACTTGTGGAGAGCTCCAGGAGGGTGGCCCCCATGGCCATGTATCAGCTTACCCACTCCCTTTACCCACTGCTGCTTCCCTGGGGCCCACTGCTTTGTGGGTATGCATGTGCATGGGAAAATTTTGCCTTCCCTGCCCCACCAGCATACCTGTGTGCATGCACCTTGCCCACCACTGAGGCTGGCAGGAGAGAACTTTGCCTTTTTTCCCCACCATACTGCCATTGAAGTCAGAGCTTTGGTGGGCATAGAGCCCACCATCCTCGCCCTCCCAAGTGTCCTGCCCTTGTTCCAACACTGCTGCTGGAGTGAAACTAGGCACATTGAAAAGTGAACCCCTCCCCACCCTAAGCAGCTATCCCCACTTGTATGAATGTGCACAGACAGCAAACTCAGATTTGTGTTTGCCAGTGCCCCACCCCCATGCTAAGACCACCACAAGCCTGACCACAAGCAAAGTTGCCAGCAGAGGCCTTCCAGCCCTTCGAACAGTGCTGCCTCTTTCACTGTTTTGGAAGTCTGCAGGGAGGCATGTACCCACATACCCATTAACACCCTGCCTCAGCTAACAAGCATCCAACCTGCCATGCCGCTGCTGCCATTGCTGATGACATGTGTAAGTGTGGACAGATCCCACTGCCACTATATGAAATGGCTTAAGTGGTACCACCTACTGGAGTGAAAAGACAAGCAGTCTGGGAGCACCTCAGCCTCCGCCAACATAGTAGGTTTGTAACATCAAGGAGTCAGAGAAAAAAGTTGGGGCCTGATAAGAATCTCTGAGAATTAGGGCACACAGTCCAGGAGTTGGAAGCTGAGACTTGACACCCTAAAATTTTGCAGAAATAAATCCAGTCAATTGAACCCACCTTATACAATTGAACACTCAGGGGCATCAAATAGGACAACAGAAAAAACAATCTGAATGACAGCAACTTCACAGACTGAAGGAACGTCGGCACACAAAGATGAGAAAATAAACAGCTCAAGTACTCTGACACCACAAAAAGCTAGAGTGCCTTCATTTCTCCAAGGAGCTGCACTAGCTTTCTAGCAAGAATTCTGAACTAGGCTCAGATGGTTGAAATGACAGAAATAGAATTCAGTATATGTATAAAAGTAAAGATTATTTTGATGTAAGAGTACATTGAAACCCAATCCAAGGAGGCTTAAGAAACATAATAAAACAATAGGGGAGATGACAGACAAAATGGCCAGTATAGAAAAGAACATAACTGACCTAATAGAGATGAAAAACATAAGAATTTCACAAATCAATCACAAGTATTAACATAAGAATAGTCCAAGTTGAGGAAAGAACTTCAAAGCTTGAAGACTGGCTTTCTGATATAAGAAAATCAAACAATAACAGAGAAAAGAAGAATAAAAAGGAATAAGCAAAACCTCCTAGAAACATGGTAGTATGTAAAGATACCAAATCTGTGACTCATTGGTGTTGCTAAAACAGGGAGAATGAAAGCAATTTGTAAAACATATTTCAGGATATCATCTATGAGTTATTCCCCAACCTAGCTAGAGAGGCCAACATTTAATTCAGAAAATGCAGTGAGCCCCAGTAAGATACTTCACAAGAAGATTATCCCCAAGGTAAATAATCATATTCTTCAAGGTAAAATTCAAAGAATAAATGTTAAAGGCAACTGGAAAGAAAGAATAGGTAATCTATAAAGAGAAGCCCATCAGACTAACAGGAGATCTTTCAGCAGAAACCCTACAAGCCAGAAGAGATTAGGGGCCAATATTCAACATTGTTAATTAAAAGAAATTGGTAAAACAAAGCCTCATAAATTAAGACAAAATAAGATCCTTTCCAGACAAGCAAATGCTGAGGGAAATTGTTACCACCAGGCCTGCCTTACAAGATCTTCTGAAGGAAGCACTAAATAGGGGGGAAAACGGGTGTCTTACCAGCCACTACAGAAACACACTTAAGTACAGAGACTAGTGTCACTATAAAGCAACTACACAAACAAGCCTGCATAATAATCAGTTAAGATCATCACGACAGGATCAAACCCACACATTTCATTATTAACCTTAATGTCAATGGGCTAAATGCCCCATTTAAAAAGCACAGAGAGGCAAGCTGGATAAAGGATCAAGACTCACTGGTCTTCGGTCTTTAAGATACCAATCTCACATACAATGACACCCATAGGCTGAAAATAAAAATAGGAAAAATAGAGAAAAATTTAACAAGCAAATGGAAAACAGAATAAAAGCAGACTTTGCAATTCTAATTTCAAACAAAATAGACTTTAAGCTAACAAAAATCATAAAAGACCGAGAAATTATTACATAATGTAAAAAGTTCAATTAAAAAAAAAAGATCTATCCTAAATATATATGCACTTTACACAGGAACACCCAAATTTATAAAGCAAGTCTTAGAGATGTTCAAAGAGACTTACAGTTCTGCACAATAATAATGGGAGACCTCAACACCTGACAGTATTAGAACATTGTGACAAAAAAAAAAATTTTCAGAATCTAAACTCAGCACTGGATTAAATAGAACTGACAGACATCCACAGAACTTTCCACTGTATATATATATGTGTGTACATATATGTGTGTGTGTGTATATATATATACACACACACATATATGTACACACATATATACATATATATACACATATATACACATATATATACACACATATATATACACATATATATACACATATATATACACATCCATATATATGTGTATATATACATACATATATATACATATATACACATACATATATATGTATATATACACACATATATAGTATATACATATATGTATATATGTGTATATACATGCTATATATGTATATACATATATGTATATGTATATATGTGTATATACATACTATATATGTATATACATATATGTACATATGTGTATATACATACTATATATGTATATACATATATGTATATATGGATGTATATATGTATGTATATATATGTGTGGATTTATATATACACATATATACATTTTTCTTATTGTTACATAGCACATATTCTAAAATCAACACTTAATCAGACATAAAACACCTCTCAGAAAATGAAAAAAAAACTGAAATCAAAACAACCATTCTCTTGGGCCACAGTGCAATAAAAATAGAATTCAAGAATAAGAAGATAGTTGAAAATCATACCATTACACGGAAATTGAATAATCTGATTCTCAATGACCTTTGGGTAAATAATAAAATTAAAGGAGAAATAAATAATTTAATTGAAACTAATGAGAACAAAGATACAACAAACCAGAAACTCTGAGACACAGCTAAGGCAGCTTAACAAGATAAATTTTTATTTTTTTCCAAGATGACAGATTGGAGGCAGTGTTAGTGTGCCCTTCTCATTTGGAAGGGCAGAATAGTGTGTACAGATTCACACTGTAAACACATTTCCAAGAATCAATACAGGAACTTAAGAAAATTTTAAAAATCTACAGACTCTTTGAAAGAGGTGGCAGTCTGCAGCCTGCTTTGAGGGATAAGTAAAAAACAACAACAACAACAAATGGTGGTAAGTCCTCAGAGTGTGAGATGGGGAGATACTGCCTTCAGAATACACATCCCCACCAGGGAATATTAAAATCCAGACCACAGGAGAAAGCCTTAACCCTTCCCAGAATTGGAACTGATTTAGTGAGTGGTGAGAAATATAAAAGTAGGAGCAGAAGTGGGAAGTGCTTTACAGGTATTCCCAGTCTAAAACCATTAGTAAATATATCTCACAGGGGACCTCAGAAAAGTCACCCAACTAGGTCAGGGAAGAGTCAGAGGGTTATCGGGGGAACCCGCCCCCAATATTTTGATGTAGGTTCTTTCTATTTTCCATAACTGTCAGCCTGCTGAGAAATAAAGAGAAAGAGTACAAAGAGAGGAATTTTACAGCTGGGCTGCCGGGGGTGACATCACATATCAGTAGGACCATGATGCCTACCTGAGCCTCAAACCAGCAAGTTTTTTACTAAGGATTTCAAAAGAGGAGGGGGTGTAAGAACAGGGAGTAGATCACATGCTTCAAAGGGCAAAAAGGAGAACTACTGATAAGGGTCCAACAAAGATCACAAGGCAAAGGGCAAAAGCAGAACTACTGATAAGGGTCTATGTTCAGCAGTGCACATATTGTCTTGATAAACATCTTAAACAACAAAAAACAGGGTTTTAGAGCAAAGAACCGGTCTGACCACAAATTTACCAGGGCAGTGTTTTTTCCCCACCCTAGTAAGCCTGAGGGTACTGCCGAAAACCAGGGCGTACCTCAGGCCTTATCTCAACCGCATATGACAGACACTCCCAGAGCAGCCATTTATAGACCTCCCCCAGGAATGCATTCCTTTCCCAGGGTATTAATATTAATATTCCTTGCTAGGAAAAAAATTTAGTGATATCTTCCCTATTTGCACGTCTGTTTATAGGCTCTCTGCAAGAAGAAAAATATGGCTCTTTTTGCCTGACCCTGCAGGCAGTCAGACCTTATGGTTGTCTTCCCTTGCTCCCTAAAAATTGTTGTTATTCTGTTCTTTTTCAAGGTGTGCTGATTTCATATTGTTCAAACACACATGTTTTACAATCAATTTATACAGTTAACACAATTATCACAGTGGTTCTGAGGTGACATACATCCTCAGCTTACGAAGATAACAGGGTTAAGAGCTTAAAGTAAAGAAAGTAAAGACAGGCATAAGAAATTATAAAAGTATTATTTGGGAACTGATAAATGTCCATGAAATCTTCACAATTTATGTCCCTCTGCCATGGCTCCATCTGGTCCCTCCATTTGGGGTCCCTGAGTTCCCACAACAGAAGGTGAAAAAAATATTCCAGCTAAATTTTGTAATGTAATCTCGAGGTGATGAACTCCCTTGTCCTGTATCCAAGGGGCAAGTGAGAAGGATGCTGCAGACATGAGTGCAAGAGCTCAGCTCCTGGCCTCATGGGAAGATAGAGAGAGGTGTGGCCTGAAAGGTGTGGTTTCTATCTCTGCAGGGAAAGCTTATGGCCTGGGGAAGGTTTGAATTCTGTGTGAAGATTGCCTGGATATAAATCTGCTGCTGGTAGCAGAGCACTGCTAGAGCGAGATCAGCCTTGCCAGCTGCACGAGTGCTGAGTGAGGTGTACTGACACCTGCTACTCCCCTCTCCTGTGGAAAACTCTTCTGTGAGGCAGAGGAAGTTATACTCCCTTCTGAAACATTACCTCAGTGCCCCCAAAGCCACCCTCAACACTCACAGGGGCAATAGCTTGCACTGCTCAAAGAAAGTCAGAGTGCAGGCCTGCCTAATCCTGCCCCTCCTGGCTGAGTTCCTCCACCCAATCTGGTAGCTTAAGACCAAGGAAATAAATTTTGGGGAGCTTTATAGCCCCACTCATGACTTGAGAAAGCAGATTACTTTTCCTGGGCAACTTAAGGTAAGCTCAGATCGTACATCTACTACCTTAGCTGGTGCTCTTTTGCAAGCACCACCTCCTAGCTGGAGGCCAACAAACACAATCTACTATAGCATCTCCAGAATAATGCTGTGTTCAGGAAGGAGAAAATTGCTGTGTGAATTCAGCTATCACCACTTCCTATAACAACTTGGGTAACCAGAGGTACTAATTCTGTCAATGTGACAAGTTTACTACAATTATAACAAGCATTCAAGAAATCCAGTACACTAAGCCTATCTACAACCAAGGAATCACAAAGTCTACATCAATCCCCTGCCACCATCAGAGCTAGTGCTAGTGCCCACTGTTGGGAAACTTGAAAACAGGTCACAGAACTGTATTTCTTACAGACATTCCCCACCATGTGGCAACACCACTGGGTGCCTAGACCCAGAAGAGCAATAGCAGTCACTGTGGTTTGGCTCTCAGGAACTCCTACTCCTAGGGAAAGAGGAAGAGCACCACATCAAGGGAAAACCATGTGGGACAAAAGAATCTGGACGGCATACCTCCAGTCCCAGATCTTTCTGCTCATGGGAAGTTGTTTAAAAAGAGAAACAATTGCAGTGCTTAATGCAACAAGGAAATCCTGCAACTCTACCACAACAGGCAAGCAGGCTTCATGCTAGTGAAGAAACTTCACGAAGGGGTAATTGTTTCTCCCTTGTCCACCACTGAAGACACTGCTTTGGCTTCTCCCATGGGAACTCAGCATAAATGCACCTATAGACAACCTTCCTGAAACAAATCTGGGTGATTGCATATCTGTAGGAGAAGCACTCCCCAGGTACAGGCTTGCATGAGAGGCAGAGTCAAAATTCCTTCCTACTCAGAGCATCAACATTCCTACAGACATAAAAAGGTCCATGATTGAAGTACATAGCTGGAACACTGGGACAGGAGTGAGGCTGGGAGGTGGATGGCTTTTCTGCTTGCCTGGTTGGGGAATTGCAGTAGCTCCCACCTTTCACTATGAGAAAACTCAGTGCTTTAAGGTACAACTGATTTCTACCCACTAATACCACCCCTACTGGCCTGAAGCCTGAAACATCAACTCAGTAAATAAAATACTAGGAAAAAATTAAACAAAAAAAAGTTCACACAATGAGGGAATGAGATAAGCTTTAAGAGATCCTTGCCATTTCAACACCATAGGAGACAGTGAAATTGCCAATACACAAAGTACATAACTACTCCAACCAGCATCTGTGAAATTTTGCATATAAACACTCTCTGTAACTAAGAAACTTTTTCTTTACTTCTAAAAGCACCAAGAATCAAATTAGGCTATAATAACATAAAAACATTAAAGTCACATCCTTAAGAGGGAAATAATTTTTTAAGTCAAATTAAAAATAAAGTCAAGAAAAATTTGAAGAAATAGTATACACAAATGAGAAGAAAAAAATGTAATTGTGGTAATATGACAAAACAAGGTTCTTTAACACCTTCAACAGATCACACTAGTTCACCAGCAATGGATCTAAACCAAGATGAAATCTTTGAAATACCAGATAAATAATTCAGAAGGTTGATTATTAAGCTACTCGAGGAGATACCAGAGAAAGGTAAACATCAACATTTAAATAAATTGTTAAAAAATCAGGATATGAATAAAAATTTGTCCAGAAAGATAGATGTCATAAAGAAAAACCAATTAGAACTTTTGTAAATAAAAGACACACTTAGAGAAATACAAAACACAGTATAAAGTTTCAATAATACACTAGAAATCATAGAAGAATTTCAGAGCTCAAAGACAAAGCTTTCAATTTACCCAGTCAGACAAAGATAGAGAAAAAGAATTTAAAAAATGAGCAGTCTCCAAGAAAAATGGGATTATGTGAAATGACCAAACTGAAGTATAATTGATGTTCCTGAGAAACAAGAGGAGGCTAAAAGTTCAGAAAACTTGTTTGACGGAATAATTAAGGAAAACCTCCCTGGCCTCACTAGAGATTTAGATATTCAAATACAAGAAGCACAAAGAAATCCTAGAAAATGCATTGCAAAATGATAATCACCAAGGCACATAGTCATCAGGTTACCTAAAGTGAACTCAAAGAAAAGAATACTAAGCACGAAGAGACAAAAGCATAGAGGTAACATACAAAGGAAAACCTATCAGGTGAACAACAGACTTCTCAGCAGAAACCATACAAACTGGAAGGAATTAGGATCGTACCTTTAGTCACCTTAAAAAAATAATTGTTAGCCAAAAAGTTTGTATCCCACAAAACTAAGCTTCATAAATGAAGGAGAGATAAAGATTTTTTTCAGTCAAACAAATGCTGAGAGAATTTGCCACTACTAAATCGGCACTACAAAACAAAATGCTAAAAGAAGTTCTAAATCTCAAAATGAAAACTTGATATGCACCAAAATACAACCTTTTGGAAGCACAAAACTCACAGGGCCTATAACACAATAACACAATAAAAAAAGTAGGTAACAAATAATATGATGAATAGAACACTCTCGTGTTACATCTCAATATTAACATTTAATATAAATGGCCTAAATGCTTCTCTTGAAAGACACAAAATAGCAGAATGAATAAAAGACCACCTACCAAATATCTTCTGTCTTCAGTAGACTCAACACAAAAAGATTTATATAAATTCAAGGTAAAGAGGTGGAAAAAGATATTCTACACAACTGGAAATCAGAAGTGAGCAGGAGTAGCTATTCTTATATCAGACAAAACAGACTTCAAAGAAACAACAGTTTAAAAAAGACAATAAAGGACATTAATATTGATAAAAACAACAGTCCAACAAGAACATATTACAATCTTAAATTTATGTGCATCTAACACTGCAGAATCTAGATGTACAAAACAATTAGCACTAGACCTAAGAGATGAGACAGACAGTAGCACAATATTAGTGGGGGTCTTTAACACTTCACTGACAGTACTAGACAGATAATTAAGATAGAAATCCTACAAAGAAATAATAAAATTAAACAATACACTAGGAAAAAAAGTAGACTTAACAGATATTTATGGAACATTTTTCCCAAGAAAGGCAGAATATGCATTTTTCTCATCAGCACATTGAATACTTTCTGATACAGACAATATGTTAGGCCACAAAACAAGTCTCAATTCATATAAGAGAATCAGAATTATATCAAGTATCTTCTCAGACTACAGTGGAATAAAACTGCAAATAAACTCCAAAAGGAATTCTCAAAGCTATACAAATACACAGAAATTAAATAACCTGCTCTTAAATGATTTTTAGATTAACAATGAAAGCAAGATGGAAACTAAGTGATTTTTTGAAATTTATGACAGTAGAGACACAAGTTATCAAAACCTCTGGGATACAGAAAATAAGCAGGGTTAAGAGGAAAGTTTATAGCATTAAATGCCTACATCTAAAAGTCTGAAAAAGCACAAATTGACAAATTAATGTCGCACTTCAATGATCTAGAGAAACAAGAACACACTAAACCCAAGCACAACAGAAAAAAAAAGAAAACAATAACAAAGATCAGAGAATAACTAAATAAAATTGAGCCAAAAATTAACACAAAAAATAAATGAAACAGATAGCTAGTTATTTGAGAAGATAAACAAAGTTGAGAGACTACTAGTGAGATTAATCAAGAAGAGAAAAAATACAAATAAGCTAAATTAGAAATGAAACTGGAGCTATTACAACATATGCCAAAGAAATACAAAGGATCATTCAGAGCTACTGTGAACAGGGCTGGGCACAGTGGCTCACGCCTGTAACCCCAACACTTTGGAAGGCCAAGGGGGGTGGATCATGAGGTCAGGAGATAGAGACCATCCTGGCTAACACGGTGAAACCCTGTCTCTACTGAAAATACAAAATATTAGCTGGCCATGGCGGTGGGCACCTGTAATCCCAGCCACTCGGGAGGCTGAGGCAGGAGAATGGTGTGAACCCAGGAGGTGGAGCTTGCAGTGAGCCGAGATAACACCACTGCACTCCAGCCTGGGTGACAGAGCAAGACTCCATCTCAAAAAAAAAAAAAAAAAAAAAAAAAAAAAAAAACTACTGTGAACACCTTTATGTCCACAAACTAGAAAATCTAGACAAAATGAATAAATTCCTAAAAACATACAACCCTCCTATAAACCCTGAACAGACAAATAACAAGCAGTGAGATTGAATCAGCATTTAAAAAGTTGCTGGGATTGCTTACTAGAAGCAGCTCAGGTGTGTGGTTTTCATATAAAGGAACAAAAGGTGTGAGTAAATACACCACCTTCAACTGAAACATCCAAGCACTTGCATTGGGACTAATCAATGAAAGAACTCAACCCACGGAGAATGAACAAAAGCAAGACAGTAAAGTGGCCCACCTGGGAGCAACATGAAGCTAGAGGAACCTCCCCCACCCAGGGAAGCAGTGACTGAATGTGCTACCCTGGGAAACCATGCTTCTCCCATGAATCTTTGAAACCCTTGAGTCAGATGATCCCTTTGTGAACTCACTTGACTAGGGTCTTCATTCTGACACACAGAGTTATGTGGAGTCTCAGCAGAGCAGCTGCACAGGCATGTGCTACAGAAGCCCAGGAGCTTTACACACTCTGGCCCTGGGCTTTCTGGCACAAGTGACTGCTACTCTAGCAAGGCAGGAGGTTGGACTTCCATACATAATCTTAGGAAAGAGGCTGAATCCCTGGGGCTGAGCAGCAACTGTCTGTGGGCTCCACTTTCATAGCACCTCAGAAGATAAGCCAATCACCAACAGAATCACCCCTAACTGGGACAGAGTTCCCGTGGGGAAGGGGCAGGCCACCATCTTTGCGGCTCGGATGACTCAGCCATTCCAGCCTGTGGGCTTTGGAGAATCCAAACTGACCCAGGGAAGAAGGAATCCCCCAACACAGCACAGCTGCTCTACCAAAACATGGCCATGCTACTTCTTTAAGCAGATCCCCAAATCCATTCCTCCTCACTGGGTGGGACCTCTCATCTGGGGCCTCCAGCCACCCCTGCTGGTGTTCTTCAGCTGACAGAAATTTAAATTGTTTCTGAAATAGAGTTCCTAGGTGGAGGGTTGGGCCACCATCTTTGCTGCTTGGATGACTCAGCTGTTTTAGCCTATAAGCTTTGGAGAGTGCAAACAGACCAGGGGTGGAAGGGATCCCCCAGCACAGCACCAAAATGTGGCCAGACTGCTTCTTTAAGTGAGTCCCCATTCTGTTCCTCCTCACTGGAAGGGACCTCCCAACCAGGGCCTCGAACTACCACTGCTGGTGTTCTCACCAACAGAGATCTCAAAACTTTCTGGTAAAGAGCTCCCAGAAAGAGGCATGTGCCACCATCTTTGCTGTCTGAGCACCTTAGCTGTTCCAGCCTCCAGGCTTTAGAGAGCCCATGCCAACCAGGGGTGGAAGCAATACCTCAGCACAAAACAGCTGCTCTATAAAAGTGTGGCCAGACTGCTTCTATAAGCAGGCCTCCAATCCTGTGACTCCTGACTGGGTGATACCTCCAAACTGAGGTCTCCAGTCAGCTCCTACAGGTGCATTTGGACAAGCAACCGGTCTATACCTCTCTGGGACAGAGCTCCCAGCAGAAGGGGCAGGCTACCATCTTTGCTGTTTTGCAGCCTTCACTGGAGATGCCTCCCAGTGGTACAGGAAAATCCAAGGTGACTAGGAATTGGAGTGGATCCCCAGCAAACCACAGCACCCCTACAGAAAAGTCACCAGGCTTCTAAAAAAATAAATGCATTCAAAGGTCAGCAACCTAAAATATCTGAAGTCCACTAAATTGATAAATAATCAGTGCAAGAACACTGAAGACTCAAAAAGCCAGAGTATCCTCTCTCCTCCAAATGGCTGCATCACCTCTGCAGCAAGAGTTCAGAAATGGGCTGAGGCTGAGATGGCTGAAATGACAGAAGTAGAAGTTAGAATATGAATAAAAACAGACTTAGCTGAGGTAAACAAAAAGCATTTTGTAACCAAATACAAGGAAGCTGAAAATCATGATAAAGCATCCAGGAGCTGACAGACAAAATAAACAGTATAGAGAAAAAGGTAAACGATCTGACAGAGCTAAAAAACACACTACAGAAATTTCATAATACAATCACAAGTATTAATAGCAGAATAGGCCAAGTAGAGGAAAAAATCTCAGAGCTTGAACACTGTCTTTCTGAAATAAGACAGGCAGACAAGAATAGAGGAAAAAAAGGATGAAGAGAAATGAACAAACCTCCAAAAAATTTGGGATTATGTAAAGAGACAAAATCTATGACTGATTGGTGTACCTGAAGCAGATGGGGTGAATAAGACTAATTTGGAAAACACATTTCAGGATATCTTCCATGAGAACTTCCCCCAACCTAGATAAACAGGCCAACATTCAAATTCAGGAAATGCAGAGAACCCTAGTAAGGTACTCCATGAGAAGATCATCAGCAAGACACAAAATCATCAGATTCTCCTAGGCTTAAAAAAAATAAAAATGTTAAGGGCAGCTATAGAAGAAGAAAAATCATCTCACAGACAGCAATGCAATCAAATTAGAACTCAAGACTGCAAAATTTACTCAAAACCATACAATTACATAGAAATTAAATAACTTGTTCTGGAATAATTTTTGAATAAATAATGAAATTGAGGCTGAAATCAAGAAATTCTTTGAAAATAATAAGGAAGATACAACATAGCAGAATCTCTGGGACACAGATAAGGCAGCGTTAACAGTGAAAATTATACCACTAAATGCCTATATCAAAAAATTAGAAAGAGTTCATGTTAACAACTCAACATCATTATTTAAAGAGCAAGAGAATCAAGAGCAAACACATCCCAAAGCTAGCAAAAAAGAAGGAATACCCAAAATCAGAGCTGAACTGAAGGAGAGAAAGACTTGAAAAACCATTTAAAAAACCATGCAAAAGATTAACAAACCCTGGATCTGGTGTTTGGAAAAAAAATAATAAAATAGATAGATCACTAGCTAGACTAACAATGAATAAAACAGAGACGATCCAAATAAAAACAATAAGAAATGATAAAAAGGGGATATTATCACTGACCCCACAGAAATACAAAGAACCATCAGAGAATATTCTATACACCTCTATGCATATAAACTAGAAAATATAGAAGAAATAGATGAATTCCTGGAAACACACAACTTTCCAAGACAGAACCAGAAAGAAAATGAATCCCTGAACACACTGATAATGAGTTCTAAAATTGAGGCAGTAGTAAATAGATTACTAACCAAAAAAATGACTAGGACCAGAATGATTCACAACTCAATTTTAGCAGATGTACAAAAAAGAGGTGGTACCATTACTACTGAAACTATTCTAAAAAATGGAAAAAGAGGAACTCCTCCCTAACTCATTCTATGAGGCCAGAATCATTCTGATACCAAAACATTGCAGAGATACAAAACAAACAAACAAACAGAAAACTTTAAGGAACATTGATGCAAAAATTTTCAGCGAAATACTGGCAAACTGAATGCAGCAGCAAATCAAATAGCTTATCCACCTGCATCAAATAGGCTTCATCCCTGGGATTCAAGGTTGGTTCAACATATCCAAATCAATAAATGTGATTCATCACATAAAGAAAACTAAAGAGAAAAACTACACAATTATCTCAATAAATGCAGAAAAAGGTTTTGATAAAATTCAACTTTGCTTAATGTTAAAAACTCTCAATAAACTAGGTATTGAAGGAACATACCTCAAAATAATAAGAGCCATATATGACAAACCCACAGCCAACATCATACTGAATGGACAAATGCTGGAAGAATTCTTTTTCAAAATCGGCAAAAGAGAAGGATTCCCTCTCTCACCACTTCTATTAAACATAGCATTGGAATTTCTGTCCAGAGAAACAAGAAAAAAGGAGAAATAAAAAGCATTCAAATAGAAAGATAAGTCAAACTATCCATATTTGCAGATTGCATGGTTCTATATCTAGAACACCTCATTGTCTCAGCCCAGAAGCTTCTTAAGCTGATAGGCAACTCCAACAAAGTTTCAGGATACAAAATCAATATGCAAAAAATGGCTAGTATTCCTGTACACCAGGAACATTCAAGCCAAGAGACAAATCACAAATGAATTTCCATTTACAATTGCCATAAAACAAATAAAATACCTAGGAATACAGCTAACCAGGGAGGTGAAATATCTCTACAATGAGATCTGCAAACCACTGCTCAAAAAAAATCGTAGATAACATAAACAAATGGAAAAATATTCCATGCTCATGGATAGGAGGAATCAATATCGTGAAAATGGCCATACTGTCCAAAGCAATTTATAGATTCAATTCTATTACAATTAAACTACAATGAACATTCTTCATAGACGTAGAAAAACTATTTTAAAATTTATATGGAACCAAAATCGAGCCTGAATAGCCAGGGCAATCCTAAGCAAATAGAACAAAGATGGAGGTGTCATGCTGCCCACATTCAAACTGTACTACTGTGCTGCAGTAACCAAATTAGCATGGTACTGCTACAAAAAAAAAAGACACATAGAACAATAGAACAAAATATAGAGCCCAGATATAAGACCATACACCTACAACTATTTGATCATCAACAAAGCAGAGAAAATCTAGCAATGGGGAAAATATTTCCTATTCAATAAATGGTGCAGGGAGAACTGGCTAGTGATATGCTGAAGATTGAAGCTGGATCCCTTACTTACACCACATACAAAAATTAACTCAAGAGGATGAAAGACTTAAATGTAAAGCACAAAATTATAAGAACCCTAGAATACAACCTAGGCAATACCATTCAGGATATAGGCACAGGCAAATATTTCATGATGAAGACACCGAGAGCAATTTCAACAAAAGCAAAAATTGAAAATTAACAAATGAAATCTAATTAAACTAAAGAGATTATGCACAGCAAAAGAAACTATCAACAGAGTAAATGAAAAACCTACAGAATGGGAGAAATATTTGCAAGCTATGAAACTGACAAAGGTCTAATATCTAGCATTTATACATAACTAAAACAAATTTAAAAGAAAAAACCAAACAACCCATTAAAAAGTTGGGAAAGAATGTTAACAGACATTTCTTTTTTAACAATAGCCATTCTGAATGTTGTGAGATGTTATCTCATTGTGGTTTTGATTTGCATTTCTCTGATGATCAGTGATGTTGACCTTATTTCAGATGCAGGTGGCAGCATGTATGTTTACGTGATGAACCACATTTATTGATTTGCGTATGTTGAACCAACCTTGCATCCTGAAGATGAAGACTATTTGATCGTAGTGGATAAGCAATCCTAAGCATTGTTGTGGGAAGTCAGGGACCCCGAACGGAGGGACCGGTTGAAGCCATGGCAGAAGAACATAAATTGTGAAGATTTCATGGATATTTATTAGTTCCTCAAATTAATACTTTTATAATTTCTTATGCCTGTCTTTACTGCAATCTCTGAAAATAAATTGTGAAGATTTCATGGACACTTATCACTTCCCTAATCAATACCCTTGTGATTTCCTATGCCTGTCTTTACTTTAATCTCTTAAACCCATCATCTTCATAAGCCAAGGAGGATGAATGTTGCCTCAGGACTCTGTGATAATTGCATTAACTGCACAAATTATTTGTAGAGCATGTGTGTTTGAACAATATGAAATCTGGGCACCTTGAAAAAAGAACAGGATAACAGCAGTGTTCAGGGAACAAGAGAGATAACCTTAAACTCTGACTGCCGGTGAGCCGGGCAGAACAGAGCCATATTTCTCTTCTTTTAAAAGCAAATGGGAGAAATATTGCTGAATTCTTTTTCTCAGCAAGGAACATCCCTGACAAAGAGAATGCGTCTCTGAGGGGAGGCCTCTGAAATGGCTGCTTTGGGGATGGCTGTCTTTTACTGTTGTAGCAGAGGGATGCAATAAGCCCCTGTCTCCCGTGGCACTCCCAGGCTTATTAGGAGGAGGAAAATCCCGCCTAATAAATTTTGGTCAGACCAGTTGTCTGCTCTCAAACCCTGTTTCCTGATAAGATGTTATCAATGACAATGCGTGCCTGAAACTTCATTAGCAATTTTAATTTCACCCCAGTCCTGTGGTCCTGTGATCTCAACCTGCCTCCATTTGCCTTGTGATATTTTATTACCTTGTGAAGCATGTGATCTCTGTGACCCACAACCTATTTGTACACTCACTCCCCTTTTGAAAATCGCTAATAAAAACTTGCTGGTTTTGCGGCTTGAGGGGCATCACGGAACCTGCCGACATGTGATGTCTCCCCAGGACACCCAGGTTTAAAATTTCTCTCTTTTGTACTCTGTCCCTTTATTTCTCAGACTGGCTGACACTTAGGGAAAATAGAAAAGAACCTACATGAAATATCAGGGGTGAATTTCACCCAACAAAGCATAAATAACAAATTGGAAGGCATCACATTACCTGACTTCAAATTATACTAAGCATCACATTACCTAACTTTGAACTATACTATAAGGTCATAGTTATCAAAACTGCATGGTACTGGTAAAAAAACAGGCATGTAGACCAATGGAAAAGAATAGAAAACACAGAAATAAAGGCAAATACTTACAGCCAACTGATCTTCACCAATGAAAACAAAAACAAAGTGGGAAAGGACACCCTATTCAACAGGTGGTGCTGGGATAATTGGGAGGCCACATGTAGAAGAATGAAACTGAATTCTCATATCTCACCTTATAAAAAACAACTCAGGATGAATAAAATACTTAAATCTAAGAGATGAAAACATGAAAATTCTAGAAAATAACACTGGAAAAATTCTCCTGGACATTGGCTTAGGCAAAGAATTTATGACTAAGTCCCCAAAAGCAAACACAACTAAAATAAAAACAAGCAAGTGTAATCTAATTAAACTGAAAAGCTTCTGCACAGCAAAAGAAATAATCAGTGGAGTACAAAGACAACCTGAAGAGTGGGAGAAAATTTTCACAATCTATGCATCCAACCAAGGACTAGTATCTAGAATCTACAAGAAACTCAAACAAATCAGGAAGAAAAAATAAGTAATCTTAGTAAAAGTGGGCAAAGGACATGAATAGACATTTCTCAAAAGAAGATATACAAACAGCCAATAACCATGAACACATGCACATTACTAATCACAAGAAAAGTGCAAATTAAAACCATAATGAAATACCACCTTACTACTGCAAAAAATGGTCACAATTAAAAAGTCAAAGGACAATCGAATTTGGCATAAATGTAGTGCAAAGGGAATGCTTTTATACTGTTGGTGGAAATGTGAATTAGTAAAACCACTATAAAAAACACTATGGAGAGTCCTTAAAAAAATAAAGGTAGACCTCCCATGTGATTCAGCAATTCCACTATTGGATATTTACCCAAAAGAAAATAAGTCATTATATTAAAAGGTCACATGAACACATCTGTTTATACCAGCACAATTTGCAATTGCAAAGATATAGAGCCAACCTAAGTGCACATTGACCAATGAGAAAATAAAGAAAATGTGGTATATATACACCAGGGAACACTACTCAGCCACAAAAATTAGCTTAATTGTATCTTTTTTAGAAACTTGGATGGAACAGGAGACCATCATCTTAAATGAAGTAACTCAGGAGTGGAAAATCAAATACTGTATATTCTGACTTCTAAGTGAGAGCTAAGTTATGAGGATGCAAAAACATACTGAGTGATATAATGGACATTGGGTACTTGGGAGAAAGATTGGGAGAGAGGAGAGAAATAAAAGACTACATATCGGGTACGGTGTACACTGCTCATGTAACAAATGCACTAAAATATCTGAATTTAATACTAAAGAACTCATTTATGAAACAAGAAAACACCTGTACCCCCAAAACTATTGACATTAAAAAAAGAAAAGAGAAAATTTTATAGTTCTAAATTCCCACATCAAAAAGTTACAACTATCTCAATTTTAACAACCTAATATCACAATCCAAAGAACAAGAGAACTAAAAGAAACATGACCCCAAAGCTAGTTGAAGACAAGAAATAACCAAAATCAGAGGTAAACTGATGGAAATTTAGACACAAAAATACATTCAAAAGATCAATAAATCCAGAAGTTGGATTTTTGAAAAAATAAAATAAAACCAATGTACCACTAGCTAGGCTAAAAGGAGGCAAGAGAGAAGATTCAAATAAATACAATTAGAAATGACAAAGAGAATATTACCACTGACCCCACAGAAATACAAATAACTATCAGAGAGTATTATTGACCCCTCTGTATTAGTCTGTTCTTGTACTGCTATCAAGAAATATGTGAGACTGGGTAATTTATAAGGAAAATAGGTTTAATTGGCTTATGGTTCCACAGGCTTTACAGGCAGCATCATACTGGCCTCTTGTCAGCTTCTGGGCAGGCCTTAGAAAACTTAAATTATGGCAGAAGGCAAAGAGAAAGCAGGCATCTTACATGGCAGGATCATGAGAAAGAAAGAGAGAGAGACTGAGGCAGGAGGTTCTACAAATTTTAAACAACCATATATCTCAAGAACTGACCAACTACTATAAAAACATCAAGAGTATGTTGCTAAACAATTCTTTAGAAACCTGCCCCATTATTCTATCACCTCCCACCAGGGTCCACCTCCAACACTGGGGATTACAATTGAACATGAGATTTGAGTGGGGCCGCTGAAACCCATACCAACCCTTATGCATACAAACTGTATCTGAACCATACCAACCTTTTTGTACACAAACTAGAAAATCTAGAAGAAATATATAAATTCCTGAAAACATATACCCTTCCAAGGCTGAACCAGAAAGAAATTCAATCTCTGAAAAGAACAATAATGAACTCCAAAATGGAATCATTAATAAATAGCTTATCAATCAAAAAATGTCCAGAACAAGATGAATTCACAGTTGAATTCTACCAGATGAACAAAGGAGAGCTGGTACCAGCCCTACTAAAATGCTTCTATAAATTGAGGAGGAGTTTCTCCCTAACTGAATCTATGAGGCCAGCATCATTCAGAAACCAAAACCTTGCAGAGAAACAACAATAATAACAGAAACTTTAGGCCAATATGCTTAATGAACATCAATGCAAAAATCCTCAACAAAATTCTGGCTAGCTGAATCCAGCAGCATATCAAAAAAGCTGATTCACCACAAGCAAGTAGGCTTTATCCCTGGGATGCAAGTTTAGTTAAACATATGCAAATAAATAAATGTGATTACTCACATAAACAGGACTAAACACAAAGCCACATGATTAGATAATAATCACAATAAACAAAGAAAAGCCTTCTGATAAAATTCAACACCCTTCTTCTTAAAAACTCTCAATTAACTAGGTATTGAAGAAACAAACCTCAAAATAATAACAGCTATCTACGACAAATCTACAGCCAACATCATACTGAATGGGCAAAAGCCAGAAGCATTCCCCTGGAAAACCTGCACAAGACAAGGATGCCCTCTCCCACCACTCCTATTCAACATAGTATTGGAAATTCTGGCCAGAGCAATCAGGCAGAAGAAATAAAGAGCATCCAAATAGGAAATTTGGAAAGCCAAACTATCTCTATTTCCATATGACAAGATTCTACATCTAAAAAACCCCATAGTCTCAGCCAAAAAGATCAATAATCTGATAAACCACTTCACTTAAGTCTCAAGGTACAAAATAAATGTACAAAAATTACTAGCATTCCTATACAACAAAAACGATGAAGCTGAGAGCCAAATCAGGAATGCAATTTCCTTCACAATTACCACAAAAAAAATGCCTAGGAATACAGCTAAACAGGGAGCTAAAGATCTCTACCAGTGAGAACTACAAAGCACTTTTCAAAGAAATAAAAGATGACACAAACAAATGGAAAATTATTCCATGCTCATAGATATGTAGAATCAATATTATTAAAATGGCCCTACTGCCCAAAGCAATTTATAGATTCAATGCTATTTTAATTAAATTATCAATGAAATTCTTCACAGTACTAAAAAAATTTTTTAATATTTATGTGAAAACAAAAAGAGACTCAATAGCCAAGGCAATCATAAGCAAAAATAACAAGATTTGAAGCATCATGCTCTCTGACTTCAAACTATACTACAGGGCTACAGTAACAAAAACAGCATGGTACTGGAACAAAAACAGACACATAGAAAAATAGAACAGAATATAGAGCCCAGAAATAAGCCCACACACCTAGAATCATCTGCTCTTTGACAAAGCTGACAAAAACAAGCAGTGGGGAAGATCTTCTAGTCAATAAATGGCGTTTGAGTAACTGGCAAGCCATATTCAGAAGATTAAAACTGGACCCCTTCCTTATGCCATATACAAAAATTAACTCAAGATGGATTAAAGACTTATATGTACAACCAAGAACTATAAAAACCAGTTAAGACAACCTAGGCAATACAGCTATGAATATAGAAATGGACAAAGATTTCATGATGAAGACACCAAAAGTGATTGCAATAAAGGCAAAATTAAAATAGAGATTATGCATACCACCACAAAGAAACTGTCAATATACTAAACAGGTCACCTACAGAATAGGAGAAAACGTTTGCTAACTATGCATCTGAGAAAGTTCTAATATACAGCCTCTATAATAAAACTTAAACAAATTTTCAAGAAAAAAATTAAAAAGTGGGCTAAAGTCATAAACAAACACTTTTCTCTCAGACCACACTTCTCTCTCAGACCACAGTACAATTAAACTACAACTCAGGATTAAGAATCTCACTCAAAACTGCTCAACTACATGGAAACTGAACAACCTGCTCCTGAATGACTACTGGGTACATAACGAAATGAAGGCAGAAATAAAGATGTTCTTTGAAACCGACGAGAACAAAGACACAACATACCAGAATCTCTGGAACACATTCAAAGCAGTGTGTAGAGGGAAATTTATACCACTAAATGCCCACAAGAGAAAGCAGGAAAGATCCAAAATTGACACCCTAACATCACAATTAAAAGAACTAGAAAAGCAAGAGCAAACACATTCAAAAGCTAGCAGAAGGCAAGAAATAACTAAAATCAGAGCAGAACTGAAGGAAATAGAGACACAAAAAACCCTTCAAAAAATTAATGAATCCAGGAGCTGGTTTTTTGAAAGGATCAACAAAATTGATAGACCGCTAGCAAGACTAACAAAGAAAAAAAGAGAGAAGAATCTAATAGACGCAATAAAAAATGACAAAGGGGATGTCATCACCGATCCCACAGAAATACAAACTACCATCAGAGAATACTACAAACACCTCTATGCAAACAAACTAGAAAATCTAGAAGAAATGGATAAATTCCTCGACACATACCCTCTCCCAAGACTAAACCAGGAAGAAGTTGAATCTCTGAATAGACCAATAACAGGATCTGAAATTGTGGCAATAATCAATAGCTTACCAACCAAAAAGAGTCCAGGACCAGATGGATTCACAGCCGAATTCTACCAGAGGTACAACGAGGAACTGGTACCATTCCTTCTGAAACTATTCCAATCAGTAGAAAAAGAGGGAATCCTCCCTAACTCATTTTATGAGGCCAGCATCATTCTGATACCCAAGCCGGGCAGAGACACAACCAAAAAAGAGAATTTTAGACCAATATCCTTGATGAACATTGATGCAAAAATCCTCAATAAAATACTGGCAAACCGAATCCAGCAGCACATCAAAAAGCTTATCCACCATGATCAAGTGGGCTTCATCCCTGGGATGCAAGGCTGGTTCAATAGACACAAATCAATAAATGTAATCCAGCATATAAACAGAGCCAAAGACAAAAACCACATGATTATCTCAATAGATGCAGAAAAGGCCTTTGACAAAATTCAACAACCTTTCGTGCTAAAAACTCCCAATAAATTAGGTATTGATGGGACGTATTTCAAAATAATAAGAGCTATCTATGACAAACCCACAGCTAATATACTGAATGGGCAAAAACTGGAAGCATTCCCTTTGAAAACTGGCACAAGACAGGGATACCCTCTCTCACCACTCCTATTCAACATAGTGTTGCAAGTTCTGGCCAAGGCAATTAGGCAGGAGAAGGAAATAAAGGGTATTCAATTAGGAAAAGAGGAAGTCAAATTGTCCCCGTTTGCAGACGACATGATTGTATATCTAGAAAACCCCATTGTCTCAGCCCAAAATCTCCTTAAGCTAATAAGCAACTTCAGCAAAGTCTCAGGATACAAAATCAATGTACAAAAATCACAAGCATTCTTATACATCAGCAACAGACAAACAATGAGCTAAATCATGAGTGAACTCTCATTCACAATTGCTTCAAAGAGAATAAAATACCTAGGAATCCAACTTACAAGGGATGTGAAGGACCTCTTCAAGGAGAACTACAAACCACTGCTCAAGGAAATAAAAGAGGATACAAACAAATGGAAGAACATTCCATGCTCATGGGTAGGAAGAATCAATATCGTGAAAATGGCCATACTGCCCAAGGTAATTTACAGATTCAATGCCATCCCCATCTAGCTACCAATGACTTTCTTCACAGAATTGGAAAAAACTACTTTAAAGTTCATATGGAACCAAAAAAGAGCCCGCATTGCTGAGCCAATCCTAAGCCAAAAGAACAAAGCTGGAGGCATCACACTACCTGACTTCAAACTATACTACAAGGCTACAGTAACCAAAGCAGCATGGTACTGGTACCAAAACAGAGATATAGATCAATAGAAAAGAACAGAGCCCTCAGAAATAATGCCGCATGTCTACAACTATCTGATCTTTGACAAACCTGAGAAAAACAAGCAATGGGGAAAGGATTCCCTATTTAATAAATGGTGCTGGGAAAACTGGCTAGCCATATGTAGAAAGCTGAAACTGGATCCCTTCCTTACACCTTATACAAAAATCAATTCAAGATGGATTAAAGACTTAAACGTTATACCTAAAACCATAAAAACCCTAGAAGAAAACCTAGGCATTACCATTCAGGACATAGGCATGGGCAAGGACTTCATGTCTAAAATACCAAAAGCAATGGCAACAAAAGCAAAAATTGACAAATGGGATCTAATTAAACTAAAGAGCTTCTGCACAGCAAAAGAAACTACCATCAGAGTGAAAAGGCAACCTACAAAATGGGAGAAAATTTTCGCAACCTACCCATCTGACAAAGAGCTAGTATCCAGAATCTACAATGAACTCAAACAAATTTACAAGAAAAAAACAAACAACCCCATCAAAAAGTGGGCAAAGGACATGAACAGACACTTCTCAAAAGAAGACATTTATGCAGCCAAAAACACATGAAAAAATGCTCACCATCACTGGCCATCAGAGAAATGCAAATCAAAACCACAATGAGATACCATCTCACACCAGTTAGAATGGCAATCATTAAAAAGTCAGGAAACAACAGGTGCTGGAGAGGATGTGGAGAAATAGGAACACTTTTATACTGTTGGTGGGACTGTAAACTAGTTCAACCATTGTGGAGGTCAGTGTGGCGATTCCTCAGGGATCTAGAACTAGAAATACCATTTGACCCAGCCATCCCATTACTGGGTATATACCCAAAGGACTATAAATCATGCTGCTATAAAGACACATGCACACGTATGTTTATTGCGGCATTATTCACAATAGCAAAGACTTGGAACCAAGCCAAATGTCCAACAATGATAGACTGGATTCAGAAAATGTGGCACATATACACCATGGAATACTATGCAGCCATAAAAAATGATGAGTTCATGTCCTTTGTAGGGACATGGATGAAATCGGAAAACATCATTCTCAGTAAACTATCGCAAGAACGAAAAACCAAACACCGCATATTCTCACTCATAGGTGGGAATTGAACAATGAGATCACATGGACACAGGAAGGGGAATATCACACTCTGGGGACTGTTTTGGGGTGGGGGGAGGGGGGAGGGATAGCATTGGGAGATATACCTAATGCTAGATGACGAGTTAGTGGGTGCAGCGCACCAGCCTGGCACATGTATACATATGTAACTAACCTGCACATTGTGCACATGTACCCTAAAACTTAAAGTATAATAATATTTAAAAAAAACAAGCAAAAAAAAAAACCAAAAAAACAAAAGAAGACATACATGCAGCCCAGAGACATATGAAAAAATAAGTTCAATGTCACTGATTATTAGAGAAATGCAAATCAAAACCACAATGAGATACAATCTCACACTTGCTAAAATGGCCATTATTAAAAAGTCAAAAATAACAAATGCTGGCAAATTGTCAGAGACAAAGGAACTCTTATATTCTGTTGGTGGGTTTGTAAATTAGTCCAACCTTTGTAGAAAGCAGTGTGACAGCTCCTCAAAGAAAGAAAAACAGAACTACCATTCAACCCAAAAATTCTATTACTCAGTATATACCCAAAGGAATATAAGTAATTCTGTCATAAAAACAAATTCATGTGTATGTTCATTGCAGCACTATTCACTGTAACAAAGAGATGGAATCAACCTAAATACCCATCAATGGTAGACTAGGAAAAGAAAATGTGGTATACATACATCATGAAATACTATACAGTCATAAAAAATGACATTATGTCCTTTGCAAGGACCTGAATGGAGCTGGAGTCTATAATCCTTAGGAAACTAATTTAAGAACAGAAAACCAAATACCGCATGTTCTCACAAATAGGAGCTAAATGATGAGACTACATGGACACATAGAGGGAAATAAGAGACACTGGGGATAACCAGAGGGTAGAGGTGGGAGCTGGGAGAGAATCAGGAAAAATAACAAATGGGTACTAGGTTTAATACATGTGTGATAAAAAAAAATCAGTACAACAAACCCTCATAACATGGGTTTACCTATTCCACAAACTTGTACATGTATACCGGAACACAGCAAAAAAGTTTAAAAAAGAAAATCATCTGAATGTACAAAACTCACTGGCAATAGTAAGTACTCAGACAAACACAAAATACTGTAACACTGTAACTGTGGTGTGCAAACTATTCTTAAGTAGAAAAACTAAACAACTTAAGGTCATGAAGAATAATGAAGAATAATGACCTATAACAGCTTTTCAAGATATAAATGTTACAATAAGATATAAATAGTAAAAACAAAAAATTAAAAAGTTGGAGGACAAAATTAAGACTTAGAGTCTTTGTTAGTTTTCTTTTTACTGGCTTGTTTTTTATGTGTGCAAACAGGGTTAAGGTGTTATCAACTTTAAATAATGGAGTGTAAGATTATATTTGGAAGCCTCATGGTAATATAAAAAAAAATGTGATGAATAAACAAAAAATAACAAGTAAGAAACTAAACCATAACACCAAAGAAAATCACCTTCACTGAAAGGAAGACAGGAACAAAAGAAATTAGAAAGAGAAGACCACAAAACAATCAGGAGTTTATCTTTACTTAGCAATAATAACATTAAATATAAATGGACTAAACCTGATAGACTAGCGTGACTGAATGAATATATAAAAAAGACACAATGACCTTTTGCCTATAAGAAATACACTTCTCCAATAAAGACACACACAGATGGAAAATAAAGGGATGAAGAAAGATGTGCCATACCAACAGAAACTGAAAGAGAGGCAGAGCATCTATACACATATAAGACAAAATAGATTTCAAGAAAAATCATTAAGAAGAGACAAAGAAGGTCACTATATAATGATAAAAGAGTCCATTCACCAAAAGGATACAAAAATTTTAAGTAAGTTTACACTCAGAGTTGGAGCATTCAGATACATAAAGCAAATATCATTAGAGTTAAAGAGAGAGAGAGAGGCATGAATACAATAACAGCTGGGTACTTCAACACCCCACTTTCAGCATTAGACTGATCTTTTCTTCGGCACATGGATTATTCTCAAGGGTAGGACACATGTTAGGTCATACAGCAAGTGTTATAACAGTCAAAAAATTTGAAATAATGTGAAGCATCTTCTCTGACCACAATGGAATAAAACTAGAAATCAAAAAGAAGATGAATTTTAGAAACTATATAAACACATGGAAATTAAACAATATGCTCCTGAATGACCAGTGGTCTATGAAGAAATTAAAAAGAAAATTAAAAATTTTCTTCAAACAAACAGAGACACAACATACCAAAACTTATGGGGTGCAGCAAAAGCAGTACAAAGTGAAAAGTTAATAGCTATAAGTACATACATCAAAAAAAGAGAAAAGCTTCAAATAAACAACCCAACAATGTATCTAAAAGAACTAGAAAAGTAAGAGCAAACCAAACCAAAAATTAGTAGAAAAAAAGAAATATTAAAGACCACAACATAAATAAACAAAACTGAAATGAAGAAAACAATACAAAAACCAATGAAACAAAAAGTTGTTTTTTTTTGAAAAGTCAAACAAGATTGAAATACCTTTAGTAAGACTAACTAAAGAGAGAAGACCAAAATAAAATCAGAGCTGAAAAAGGAAACATTACTACTGATACTGCAGGAATCAAAAGGATCAATAGAGGCTACTATGAGCAACTATATGCCAATAAATTGAAAAATCTAGAAGAAATTAACAAATTCCTAGACACATGCAACCTATCAAGGTTGAACTAGAAATTTTGTATAAATTTTTGTATTATGCATGGTGTGGGCCCAACTTTATTATTTTTCATGTGGATATCCAGTTGTCCCAGCCCAATTTGTTGAAGGAATTGTAATTTTTCATTGTATGGTCTTGACATTCCTGTTGAAAATCAATTCACCACAGTTGTGTGGATTTCTTTCTGCATTCCTAATTCCATTCCATTGACCTGTATATCTATGCTTATGTCACTATCATTATTTTATTACTGTAGCTTAGTAGTAACTTTTGAAATTTGAATGTATGTGTCCTCCAACATTGTTCTTTTTCATTATAGTTTTGAATATTCCCGGTCCTTTGTAAGTAAATATAAATTGTATGTTTTTCGTTTTGTTTTTCTACTTTTCATTTGTACAAACTCATGGGATATATGTGCAATTTTGCTACATGCATAAATTTCATAGTAGTCTAGTAAGGAATTCTAAGTTATCCATCACCCGAATAATGTACATTGTAGCCATTAGCCAATTTCTCATTATTCTCTCCCTACCACCCTCTCACCCTTCTGAGTCTCCTTTATTTATTATTCCGCTCTCTATGTCCACATGAACATATTTTATTTTTCTATTTAAAAAAAGAGGCTGCAAAATTTTTGTAGGGGTTGAATTATATCTGTATATTTCTTTGTAGAGTATTGCTCTATACCAAATATAAAATTCTACTTCTCTTAACTGATTGATGTACTCCCACTTCCTTGGCCAAGGACTTCCAAAGTTAACCTGAAAATCTAGCTGAGACCCTCCTGAAAATCTAGTTCAGGGAGAGTCACACATACTTTATACTCTCCTCTGTTTGGAAGTCCAGCAAAGCTGACCAGTTTTAACATTTAAACAGAGATTTTAAGACTGACAAAGCAGACACTTTTTAGCAATGAGACAACAAATTTCAACCTGGCTTTAGTATAGTGTCTCATGAAAGATAGAAGGTTATGAAAGAAATTGAAATATTTTATCCCAAAATATATTTCTTTGATACGTACTGGGATGGCCCTGTAAAGCTGTCTCTTGTTGGGAAAATCTACATTCTGTAGAGAATTCTCTTCCCTTTTCAGGTCTTTTCCCTGATTCGGAAGAGAACTAACTAAAGGTCTGGCAACTTTGTAGATCTCATAAGAGCTCTGAAGCTTGGTTTCTGAAGTCTTCATCTGCATGATAAAACCTTGGTCTTCACAACCTCTGATCTTAATCCAGACGTTTCTTTCAACTCTTTCATCCAGTTCCTAATCAGAAAAATTTTGAATCTACCTATGGCCTGGAAGGCCTCCTCTCACCCCTGCTTCAAGTTGTCCCACCTTTCTATACCAAAACAATGTACATCTTACGTGTGTTGATTGATGTCTTATGTCTCCCTAAAATGTATAAACTCAAGCTGTAGCCCAACCACCATGGGCACATGTTCTCAGGGCCTTCTGTGGCTGTGCCATAGGTGATAGCTTTATATTTGGCTCAGAATAAATCTCTCCAATTATTTTACAAAGTTTGATGCCTTCCGTTGACATTACCGTTATAAAAATATAATATTTAGTGCATAAACATAGGGTATCTGTTTATTAATTTAGGTCAAATATAACTTCTTCCACAAAGTTTTCCAACATTCTGTGCATAATTCTAACAACTCCTTCAAGTACTTCTAAGCATTTTACTATTTTGAACCTTATTGTAATAAAATTGTTTTCTTTACTTCTTCTTTTGGAATCATCATTTTGACTAATAAGAAAACTAGTTTTGCATGTTGATTTTGTAACTTAAAATTTTTCTGAATTCATTTATGTATTCTAATTTTTGCAAGTTATTTGCTGCTTTTTATATACAGAATCATGCTATCTGCAAATAGAGATTGTTTTACTTCTTTTTTCTTCTATTTGGATGCTTTTTATCTCTTATTCTTTCTTAATGTTACTTCCAATATTATGCTAAATATTTGGTGAAACGTAGCATCCTTGTCTTCTTCCTGATCTTAAGGAGAAATATTTCAGTTAATAATTAAGTATAATGTCACTTTTTTTCTTTTGTATATGCCCTTTTTCGTATTGAAAAAGTGTCCTTCTAGTCCTAGTTTGTTGAGTTTTATTATGAAAAAAAGTTTTATTTTGTCAAATGCTTTTTATTTAGCAATTGAGATGATTATGTGCTTTTTTTTCCTTTACTCTATTAAGGTAGCATATTGCATTCATTGATTTTTATATGCTGAACCACTCTTGCACTCATGGGATAAATCCCAGTTGTTGATAGCATATAATCCTTCTAATATGCTGCCTCATTTAGTTTGTTAGTACTTGTTGAAAATTTTGCAACTGTACTAAATAAGGGCTATTGCTCTGCAGTTTTCTTTTCTTATAATGTTTTTCTGTCCCTTTGGCATCAGTATAATATTGGCCTAGTGGAATCAGGTAGGATGTGTTGCCTTCTCTTTTATTCTTTTGGAAGAATTTTTAGTTATTATTTTTAATTGCCTTTTAAGTGATTCATATAATTCACTAGTGAAGCCATCTAATTCTGATGTTTTTAAATATTATTTTTATTTTAATAAAAAAACTTGGATTAAAACTCTTCCCTTGTTACAGGACTTTTAGATTTTATTTTATTTTTTGAAATAGTATTGGTAGTTTCTGTGTTTTCAATACTCTGTCAATTTCATGTAGGTTATATAAATGTTGGTGTAAAATTGTTCATAATATTCTAAGTATATTTATTTCTTTAAGGGAGATAGTTTCTGCATTTATTTCTCATTTAAGGAATTTGAGTCTTTTTTCTAAGTAAGTCTTGCTAAAGGTTTATTTTGTTAATAATTTTTGAAGGACTAATATTTGATTACATTGATTTTATTTAGTGCTTTTTCTAGTTTCTAATAATCTTTAATCTTTATTATTTTTTTCCTTCTGCTAGCTTAAAGTAATTAAAAACATATCTCAGAAAGATATTTTTGTGCCATGTTTATTGCAGCATTATTCACATTAGCGAAGAGGTAGAAACAAACTGAATGTCCATCAATGGATAAATTAATAAAGAAAATGTATTAATATTATGTACACACAGTGAAATGCTATTCAGGTTTAAAAAATAAGAAAATTCTGTCACATACAATTCTGCAACATGGATTTTGAGGACATTATGCTAACTGAAATAAACCCGTCACAAAAAGACAAATGCCGCATAGTTCCACTTATGTGAAGTATCTTAAGTAAGTAGTCAAATTCATTGAAGCAGATGGTAGAATGGTGCTTGCCAGGGGCTGGGAGGGGGGCAATTAGTTGCAGTTTGATTGGTAGAAAATTTCAGTCATACAAGGTGAAAAAGTTCTAGCAATCTGCTGTACAACAGTGCACAGATAGTAACAATAATATACAATTAATATTTTTAAAGAAGGTATACATCACATCATGTGTATTGTCAGAATTTAAAAAATTAATGCTCAATAAATAAATATATAAATAAACATTCAGTCATAGTAGTATAGATTTTTCTCACCCATCCAAAATTTCAAATCAGCCAAGCAGAAAACATCATGTTGGAAAAAGGAGTGATATAAATGTCTCAAATTCACAATTGTTTTGACTAAATTATTCAGTTAACCAATCAATTCAGTCCAAAGATAGGGCATATATGTTGATTCAGCCTTGACCTGTAGATAAATAACAAAGGAGTAAAATAATAATAATAGTTAATATTTTCTGCAATTACTAATATCAAGTAAAGTTATAGCACTAAATGTTCTACTGACATTTAGATTTAGTTTGATACTATTTTTTACTGCCTTAGTGTAAAATCAGAGTTTTTGTTTGAGATCACTTTATGTGGTAAAAGTTACATAGCATTAAGTGCACAATTTTGACCCTTTGTATTTTTAAAAACATTTTGACCCTTTTTAAGAAAGTTTATTAGCATTTAGTATATCACATTGTTGTGCAATAATTACCACCACCACCTACAAAATATTTTCATCTTCCCAAGCTGAAACTCCATATTCATAAAATACCTCCCCATTCTACACTTCCCTCAAGACCTAGATACCCCCAATGTATGAATTTGACTACTTTATATACCTCTTCTATTTTGTAGCATATGTCAGAATTTTGCTGCTTTTTAAGGCTGGGTAATACTGCATCATGTGTATGTACCAAATTTAGTTTATCTATTCATATTTGATGAATACTTGGATTGCTTCCACATTTTGTTTATTGTAAATAATGATGCTATGAATATGTGTGTACTAATATCTGTTCAAGCAACTGCTTTCAATTATTTTTGGTATATAACTAGAAAAGGAATTGCTAATAATTCTATGTAGGCTCTTTTTTGGTTCCATATGAATTTCAGGATTGTTTTTCTAGTAAGGTGAAGAATGATGATGGTATTTTGATGGGAATCACATTAAATTTATAGATTATTTTGGCAGTATGGTCATAGTTACAATATTATTGATCTTACCTATCCATGAGCATTGGATGCTTTTTCACTTGTTTGTGTCATCTATGATTTCTTTCAGCAGTGTTTTGTAGTTTTCCTTGTAGAAATCTTTCACTTCCTTGTTTAGATATATTCTTAAGTATTTTATTTTATTTTTTGTAGCTGTTGTAAAAGGAGTTGAGTTCTTGATTTGAGTCTCATATATAATTATATATTATGTCAGTCTCATATATAATTATAATATATGTGATATGGTTTGGCTGTGTCTCCACCCAAATCTCATCTTAAATTATAACTCCCATAATTCTCATATGCTGTGGGAGGGACTCAGTGGAAGATAAATCAATCATGTGGGTGGTTCCGCTCATACGGTTCTCATGGTAGTGAATAAGTCTCAAGAGATCTGATGGTTCTATAAGGGGTTACCCCTTTAACTTGGCTCTCATTGTCTCTTGTCTGTCACCAGGTAAGACATGCCTTTTGCCTTCTGCCATGATTATAAGGCCTCCTTAGCCACGTGGAATTTTGAGTCCATTAAACCTCTTTTTCTTTAAAATTACCCAGTTTAGGGTATTTTTTTATCAGCAGCATGAAAACGGACTACTACAGTAAATTGGTACCAGTAAAGTGGGGTGCTGCTATAAAGACACTCAAAATTGTTCCAGAAAAAATATTGACAAATCTAACACTCTTTTAAAATTAAAACACTTGGAATTCTGAGAATAGAAGGAAATACCCTCAATCTGATTAAGGACATTTATGAAAAACCCACAGCTACATAATCCTCAAATGCTAAAAGTGTTCCTTCTAAGTTCAGGAACCATAAATGGATGCCTGCTTTTACCTCTGATATTCAGTATCATGTTGGATGTTCTGGCCTGAGCAACTGGGCAAGAATAAAATGCAACCAAACTGGAAAGGAAGGATAAAACTACTTACATTTGCAGATGACATAATCTGTTAGCTCTATAAATCTACAAAGAATCTACAAAGAAAAAATTTACAAAGAAAAACCTACAAAGAAAGCTACTAGAGGTAACAAATAAATTCCGGTAAAGTTTCAAATATAAAATAAACACAAAAGGCCAGGCGTGGTGGCTCACGCCTGTAATCCCAGCACTTTGGGAGGCCAAATTATGACGTGATAATTGGATATCTGCATGCAAAAAAAATGAATTTGGAACTCTAATTCACAGTATATAAAAATTAATTCAATATGAATTAATGACCTAAATATAACAGCTAAAATTATAACTCTCTTAGAAGAAAACATATAAGTAAACTTTTAATACTTTGGTTGCAGCAGTGGAATCTTAAATATGACACCAAGGAATAAGCAACAAAAGAAGAATACATAAATAAAAAATAAATAAATAGACCATCAAAATTTAAAACTTTTGTGCATCAAAGTTCAATATAAAAACTATAAAGATAACCTATGTAATGGAAGAAAATATTTGAAAATAATATATCTGATAAGATATAGGATCCATATTACATAAACAATTCCTACAACTAGGTCAACAAAAGATAAATTACCCAATTCAGAAATGGAGAAAAGACTTAAATATAAATTTCTCCAAGGAAGAGATACAAATCACCAATAAGCATCTAAAAAGATGCTTAAAATTATTATAAATTAGGAAAATGCAAATCAAAAATACAATTGAATACCTCATCATACATATTAATATAGCTATAATAAAAATGAAAATTAAAATGTGTTGAAGATAATGTGGAACAATTGGAACTATTGTACATTGATAGTGAGTTTGTAAAATGGTGTAACCTTTTTAGATAGCAATTTAGCTGTTCCTCAAAAAGTCAAACAAACATGGAATTACCTATGACCCTCCAATCCCACTACTAGCTATATACCTTAAAGACTTGAAAGCTGGCACTAAAACAGATATTTGAACACCAATATTATAGTAACATTATTCACAACAGTTCAAAGGTGAAAACAACCAAATATTCATAAGAGAAGAAATGATAAATGAAATTTTATATAAGATATATATATATATAATTTAGCTGTAAAAATAAACTGGTAATAAATGCTGTAATGTGGATGAACCACCAAAGCATCATTCTCAATGAGAGATATCAATCACAAAGGGAAACATATTGTATGATGAAATTTATATAAAATATTCAGCATAGAGAAATCCACAGATACAATGTATGCTGATAGTTGGCAGAGTCTAGGAAGAGAGAGCAATGAGAGAAACCACTTAATGAGTAAGTGGTTTTACTTGGGAATGATGAAAATATTTTGGAACCAGGTAGAGGTGGGGGTTGCACATTATTGCTAAATGCAATTTTCACTTTGTTCACTTTACAATGCGTCATTTTGTTATGTAAATTTTACCTCAATAAATTATTTTTTTAAATTGTTAGTATTTATTTTAAATATACCTTTTAATCAATGTGCAATGACTGTACATGTTTATGGAGTACAATGTGATATTTCAATACATGAATACAATGTATAATAATCAAATTAGGGTGGTTAGCATATTCATCACCTCAAATTTTTATTATTTCTTTGTTTTGGGAATAGTCAAAATCCTATTCTCTAGCTATTCGAAAAAGTACGATAAATTATTGTTTACCATAGTCACTCTACAGTGCTATAGAAAACTAAAAACTCTTTCTCCTATCTAACTGTAGTTTTGTATCTATTAACCAACTTCTCCCTATAGCCCCGTACCCTTACCCTTTCTGGTCTCTAGCAACTACTATTCTACTCTATACTTTTATAAGACCAATTGTTTAGCTTCCACTTATCAGTGAGAACATGTAGTATTTGTCTTTCTATACCTGACTTATTTCACTTAACATAATGCCCACCAAGCTCATCTATGTTGCCATGAAAGAACAAATTTTAGTTTTCTAATATGTATATATACCACATGCTCCTAAACCATTTGTGTGGTTGTGAATGCAGGTTGATTCAAATATTCTTGGCTATTGTAAATAGTGCTGCAGTAAACATGGGAGTGCAAACTTTGACATGCCAATTTTCTTTCTTTTGGGTAAATACCCAGTAGTGGAATTGCTGGATCATAAGGCAGATATATTTTTACCTTTTTAGGGAAACTCCATACTGTTTTTCAAAATAACCATACTAATTTACATTCCCATCAATAGTGATTGAGAGACCCATATTTGCATCCTTGCAAGATTTATTATTGTTCTCTTTGTGACAATAGCCAATCTTTTTTTATCTTTCAATTTCAATAGTTTTGAAGAAAAAGGTGGTGTTTAGTTACATGAATATGTTCTTTGGTGGTGATTTCTGAGATTTTGGTGCACCCATAACCCAAGGAGTATACACTGCACCCAATGTGTAGTCTTTTATGCCTCAATGCATCTCTTATCCTTCCCCCTGAGTCCCCAGAGTTCATTATATCATTCTTATGTCTGCGTCCTCATAGTTTAGCTCCCACTTTTAAGTGAGAATATACGATGTTTGGTTTTCCATTCCTGAGTTACTTTACTTAGAATAATGGTCTCCAACTCCATCCAGGTTGCTGTGAATGCCATTATTTTATTTATTCATTGGGCTGAATAGCATTCATATATATATATATATATATATATATATATATATATATATATATATATATATAATCACATTTTCTTTATTGACTCATTGATTGATGGGCATTAGCGTTGGTTCCATATTTTTGCAATTGTGAACTGTGCTGCTGTAAAGGTGTGTGCAAGTGTGTTTTTCATATAATGGCTTATTTTCCTCTGGGTAGATACCCATAGTGGGATTGCTGTATCAAATGGTAGCTCTACTTTTAGTACTTTAAGAAATCTCCATACTGTATTTCATAGTGGTTGTACTAATTTACATACACACCAGCAGTGGAAAAGTGTTTCTTTTTCACCACATTTATGCCAACATCCATTATTTTTAATTTTTTTTATTATGACCATTCTTGAAGGAATAAGGTGGCATTGCACTGTGGTTTTGATTTGCATTTCCCTGACATTTATTAATTTTGAGCATTTTTAAATGTTTGTTTACCATTTGTATATCTTCTTTTAAGAATTGTCCATTCATGTCCTTAGCCTACTTTTTGATGGAATTATTATATTTTTTTCTTGCTGATTTGTTTGAATTCTTTGTAGATTCTGGATATTAGTTCTTTGTCAGATGTAGAGTTTCAAATATTTTTTCCCACTCCATGGGTTGTCTGTTTACTCTGCTGATTATTTCTTTGGGTGTGCAGAAGTTTTTTAGTTTAATGAAGTCCCATCTATTTATTTTTGTTTTTGTTGCATTTGCTTTTGGGTGCTTGGTCATGAACTCTGCCTAATTCAATGTCTAGAAGGGTTTTTCTGATGTTATCTTGTAGAATTTTTATGTTTTTAGGTCTTAGATTTATGTCTTTGATCCACTTGGGTTGATTTTGGCATAAGGTGAGAGATGAAGATCCAGTTTTATTCTTCTACATGTGACTTGCCAATAATCTCAGCAGCATTTGTTGAATAGGATGTCCTTTCCCCACTTTATGTTTTTGTTTGCTTTGTTGAAGATCAATTGGCTGTGGGCATTTGGCTATATTTCTGGGTTCTCTACTCTCTTCCATTGGTCTACATGCCTGTTTTTATACCAGTGCCATGTTGTTTTGGTAAATATAGACATATAGTTTGAAGCCTGATGATGTGATGCCTCCAGATTGGTTGCTGTTGTTTCTCACTTGGTCTAACTTTGGTTATGCAGGCTCTTTTTTGGTTCCATATGAATTTTAGAATTGTTTTTTTCCAGCTCCGTGAAGAACGATGCTGGTATTTTGATGAGAATTGCATTCAATTTATAGATTGTTTTGGCAGTATGATCATTTTCACAATATTGATTCTACTGATCAATGAGCATGGGCTGTGTTTCCATTTCTTTGTGTCATCTATGATTTCTTTCAGCAGTGTATTGTACTTTTCTTTGTAGAAATCTTTCACCTCCTTTGTCAAGTATATTCCTAAGTATTTTATCTTCTCACAGCTATAGTAAAAGGGGTTAAGTCCTTGATTTTATTCTCATTTTTGTTTCTGTTGGTGTATAGCAGTGCTCCTACTTTGTGTACATTGATTTTATATCCTGAAATTTTACTAAATTTATTCAACAGATCTAGGAGCTTTTTGGATTAGTCTTTAGGGTTTTCTAGGTGTAAAATTGTATCACCAAAGGACAGCAATAGTTTTACTTCTTCTTTCCCAATTTAGATGTCCTTTATTTCTTTCTCTCATCTTATTGCTCTGGCTAGGACTTCCAGTACTATGCTGAATAGAATTGGTGAAAGTCAGCATCCTTGGTTTGGTCCAATTCTCAGGGGGAGTGCTTTCTAATTTTTCCCATTCAGTATGATATTGGCTGTGGGTATGTCATAGATAAATTTTATTATGTGGAAGTATGTTTCTTATATGCCAATTTTGTTGAGAGTTTTTAACATAAGGAGATGCTGAATTTTATCAAATGCTTTCTCTGCATCTATTGAGATGATAATATGATTTTTTTAAATTCTGTTTATGTTATGTATTACATTTATTGACTTGCATGTGTTAAATTCTCCCTCCCTTTCTGGTATGAAACCCACTTGATCATAATGTATAAACTTTTTGATATACTGTTGGATTCAATTAGCTAGTATTTTGTTGAGAATTTTTGCATCTATCTTCATGAGGGATATTGGTCTGTAGTTTTCTTTTTGTTATGTCTTTCCCTTGTCTTGGTATTAGGGTGATAGTGGTTAAATAGAATGATACAGGAAGGATTTCATCTTGTTCTACCTTTTGGATTTGTTTCAGTAGAACTGGTATCACTTCTTTCTTGAATATCTAACAGAATTCAGCTGTGAATGCATCTGCTCCTGCACTTTTTTCTTTGGCAGTTTTTTATTGCTGTTTTCAGACCCACTGCTCATTATTGACCTGTTCAGTTTATATTTCTTCCTGATTTAATGTAGAAGTGTTGTATATTTCTAAAATGTTATCCATCTCCTCTAGGTTTTCTAGGTTGTGATCATAAAGGTGTTTTAGTAGACTCAAAAGGTCTTTTGGTTTTCTGTGGTATCAGTTTTATTATCTCCCATTTTGTTTATAATTGAGCTTATTTGGGTCTTCTCTCTTATTTTCTTGGTTAATCTCAATGATAGTCTGTCAATTTTGTTTACCTTTTCAAAGAACCAGCTTTTTGTTTCATTTATCTTTTTATTTTTTCTTTACATTTTATCTAGATATGCTTCAATCTTTGTCTATTCTTTTTTTCCCCTGGGTTTGGTTTTGGTTTCGGTTTTTCTTGTTTCTCTACTTCCTTGAGGTATGACATTAGTTTCAACAATATGTTGTAGTTTTCAGTGTACAAATGTGTAACTTCTTTCTCTCCAGATTGTTTATTGTTGATGTATAGAAATGAAAATGACTTTGTAATGTTGATTCGTGACCTAAAATTTTACTGAATTTGTTTTAAAACCTTTTGTGGAACCTTTAGGGTTTTCTACTTATAATATTATGTGATCTGAAAACAGATTTTACTTACTTCTTTCTGAATTGGATTCATTTTATTTCCTCTTGCCTAATTGCTCTGACTAGGACTTCCAGTACCATGTACAGAAGGAGTAGCAGACCTTCAGCAAGGTCTCAGGATGAAAAATCAATGTGCAAAAATCACAAGCACTCCTATACACCAATAACAAACAGAGAGCCAAAACATGAGCGAACTCCCATTTGCAATTGCTACAAAGAGAATAAAATACCTAAGAATACAGCTTACAAGGGATGTGAAGGACCTCTTCAAGGAGAACTACAAACCACTGCTCAAGGAAATAAGAGAGGACACAAACAAATGGAAAAACATTCCATGCTCATGGATAGGAAGAATCAATATCGTGAAAATGGCCATACTGCCCAAAGTAATGTATAGATTCAATGCTATCCCCATCAAGCTACCATTGACTTTCTTCAGAGAACTGGAAAAAACTACTTCACATTTCATATGGAACCAAAACAGAGCACACAGAGCCAAGATAATCCTAACCAAAAAGAACAAAGCTGGAGGCATCTTGCTACCTGACTTCAAACTGTACTACAAGGCTACAGTAACCAAAACAGCATGGTACTGGTACCAAAACAGATATATAGACCAACAGGACAGAACAGAGGCCTAAGAAATAACACCACACATCTACAACCATCTGATTTTTGACAAACTTGACAAAAACAAGCAATGGGGAACAGATTCCTTATTTAATAAATGGTGTTGGGAAAACTGGCTAGCCATATGCAGACTGAAACTATATCCCTTCCTTACACCTTCTACAAAAATTAACTCAAGATGGATTAAAGACTTAAATGTAAGACCTAAAACCATAAAAACCCTAGAAGAAAACCTAGCCAATACTATTCAGGACATAGGCCTGGGCAAAGACTTCATGACTAAAACACCAAAAGCAATGGCAACAGAAGCCAAAATTGACAAATGGGAGTTAAATAAACTAAAGAGATTCTGTGCAGCAAAAGAAACTATCATCAGAGTGAACAGGCAACCTACAGAATGGGAGAAAATTTTTGCAATCTATCCATCTGACAAAGGACTAATATCCAGAATCTACAAGGAATTTAAACAAATTTACAAGAAAAAACAACCCTATCAAAAAGTGGGTGAAGGATATGAACAGACACTTTTGACATTTATGTGGCCTACAATCATATAAAAAAAGCTTGTCATCACTGGTCATTAGAGAAATGCAAACCAAAACCACAGTGAGATACCATCTCACACCAGTTAGAATGGTGTTCATGAAAAAGTCAGGAAACAACAGATGCTAGAGAGGATGTGGAGAAATAGGAACGCTTTTACACTGTTGGTGGGAGTGTAAATTAGTTCAACCATTGTGGAAAACAGTGTGGTGATTCCTCAAGGATCTAGAACTAGAAATACCATTTGACCCAGCAATCTCATTACTGGGTATATACCCAAAGGATTATAAATCATTCTACTATGAAGACACATACACAAGTATGTTTATTGTGGCACTGTTCACAATAGCTAAGACTTGGAACCAACCCAAATGCCCATCAATGATAGATAGACTGGATAAAGAAAATGTGGCATATACACACCATGAAATACTATGCAGCCATAAAAAAGGATGTGTTCATGTCCTTTGCAGGGACATGGATGAAGCCGGCAACCATCATTCTGAGCAAACTATCACAAGAACAGAAAACCAAACATTGCATGTTCTCACTCATAAGTGGGAGTTGAACACTTAGAACACATGGACATGGGGGTGGGAGTAGCATACACCAGGGCCTGTCGGAGGTAGGGCTGGGGGAGGGATAGCATTAGGATAAATACTTAATGTAGATGACGGGTTGATGGGTGCAGCAAACCACCATGGCACGTGTATACCTATGTAACAAACCTGCACGTTCTGCACATGTACCCCAGAACTTAAAAAAAGTATAATAATAATACTAATAAAAAGGATTGGGCATTTCCGACTTGTTTCTGTTTTTAGAGGGAAAGGTTTTTGTCTTTTACCCTTGAGTACAATGTTAGCTGTGGGCTTTTCTTATATGGTTTTTATTATGTTGAGGCAGTTTCTTTCCATTCTTAGACTGTTAAATGTTTTTGTCTTAAAACCACCTTGAATTTTTTCAAAAAATTTGTCCCAATCATTGATTGAAATTTTTATGTGTTTCTTTTTTCCATCATCATAATAATGTGGTGTATTACACTAATTTATTTTCATAGGTTGAAACATCCCTGCATTCTAGGAATAAATGCCACTTTGTCATGGTATATCATCCTTATAATGTGCTATTGAATTGTATTTGCTATTATTTTGTTGAGGATATTTGCATCAATATTCATCAAGAATATTGGTCTGTAGTTTTCTTTTCTTGTAGTGTTATTATTTGGCTTTGGTATCAGGTTAATTCTGGCCTCATAAAATGAATTCAGTAGCTTTTTCTCTTTTTCAATTGTTAAAAGTTTGAGAAGGATTGGTGTTAATATTTACTTTTTACTTTATTTTATTTTATTTTATTTCAATATTTTTGGGGGAATAGTTAAGTTTCAGTTACATAGATAAGTTCTTTAGTGGTGATTCCTGAGATTTTGATGAATCCATTACCCGATCAGTGTACACTACGCCCAATGTGTAGTCTTTTCCCCCTCACCCACCTCACACCTTTCCCCACGTCCCCAAAATCCATTATATTATTCTTATGCCTTTTTTATCTTTATAACTCAGCTTTAATTTATGAGTGAGATACACAATATTTGGTTTTTCATTCTTGTGTTATTTCACTTAAGATAATGGTCTCCAACTCCATCTAGTTTGCTAAGAATGCCATTATTTTGTTTCTTTCTATGGCTGAGTAGTATTCCATGGTGTGTGTGTGTGTGTGTGAGTGTGTGTGTATATATATATATATATATATATATATGTGATATATATATTTGGATATATATATATATATCACATTTTCTTTATCTACTCATTGGTTGATGAAAATTTACACTGGTCTCATATTTTTGCAATTGCAAATTCTGCTGATATAAACATGCATGTGACTTCTTTTCCTTTGGGGAGATAACCAGTAGTGAGATTGCTGGATTGAATAATAGCTTTACTTTTAGTTCTTTAGGGAATCTCCATACTGTTTTTCATAGTGGTTGTACTAGTTTATCTTTCCACCCACAGTGTAGAAGTGTTCTCTTTTTATCACATCCATGTCAATATTTATTTTTTTAATGTTATGTAATTATGGGTATTCTTGCAGGAGTAAAGTAGTATTACATTGTAGTTTTAATTTGCATTACCTGATTACTAATAATGCTGAGCATTTTCCATGTGTTCATTGACCATTTGTATATCTCCTACTGAAAATTGTCTATTCATGTATTTTGTGCATTTTTGATGAGATTATTTACTTTTTTTGCTGATTTGTTTGATTTTTTGGCAGATTCTGGATATTAGTCCTAAAAGCAGTGCTAAAAGAAAAGTTTATACCATTAAATGCAAACATCAAAAAGTCTGAAAGAGCACAAATCGACAAACTAATGTCATACCTCAAGGAACTAGGGAAACAAGAACAAACCAAAACCAAACCCAGCAGGAAAAAAAAAAAAGAAAGAAAAAGAAATGACAAAGATTAAAGCAGATCTAAATAAAATAAAATTGAAAGAAATAAATAAAAAAGGCTAGGCGCGGTGGCTCAGGCCTGTAATCCCAGCACTTTGGGAGGCTGAGGAGGGCGGATGACGAGGTCAGGAGATTGAGACCATCCTGGCTAACATGGTGAAACCCCGTCTCTACTAAAAATACAAAAAAATTAGCCAGGCTTAATGGCAGGCACCTGTAGTCCCAGCTACTCGGGAGGCTGAGGCAGGAGAATGGCATGAACCCAGGAGGTGGAACTTGCAGTGAGCGAAGATCACGCCACTGCACTCCAGCCTGGGTGACAGAGCGAGACTCCATCTCAAAATAAATAAATAAATAAATAAATAAATATAAAAAACATAAATGACACAAAAACTGGTCCTTTGGAAAGATAAAGAAAATTGATAGACAATTAGTGAGTTTAACCAAGAAAAGAAGAGAGAAGAGCCAAATAAGCTCAATTAGAAACAAAATGGGAGATAATAAAACTGATACTACAGAAATACAAAAGACAGTTTGAGGCTACTAAAACACCTTTATGCTCACAACCTAGAAAAAGAGGAGATGGATAAAAAGACATTTTTGTTCATGGATTAGAAGACCAAATAGTTATTATATCAATACTAATCAAAGTGATCTACAAAGCCAATGCAATCTCAGTAACTTTCTCTTTTTGCAGGAAAATAAAATACATCGTAAAGGCAAGATAGTGGAGAAAAAGGAATGCTTTTACACTGTTGATGGAAGTGTAAATTAGTTCAACCACTGTGCAAGACAATGTGACAATTCCTCAAAGACCTAGAGGCAGATATATACCGTATACACCCAAAGAAATATAAATCATTCTATTATAAAGATACATGCACATGTATGTTCACTGCAGCACTAGCACCATTCACAATAGCAAAGACATGACATCAGACTAAATGTTCATCTATTATAAACTGCAAGGAAAATGTGGTACATACACACCATGGAATACTATGCAGCCATAAAAGGGAGAAAGATCGTGTCCTTTGCAGAGACATAAATGAAGCTGAAAGATATTATCCTCAGCAAACTAACACAGGAACAGAAATCCAGATATTATGTTGTCTCACTTATAGGTGGGAGCTGAATAATGAGAACACATGAACACATGTGGGGAAGCAACACACACTGGGGCCTTTCAGAGGCTGGGGAGTAGGAGGAGTGAGAGTATCTAGTAGAATAGTTAATGGATGTTGGGCTTAATACCTAACATCCATTAACAGATTAACAAAAGAGATAATCTGTGCAGCAAACCACCATAGTTTACCTATATAACAAACAACATAGGTATACAACACACATTTAATTAACAAACTTGCACATCCTGTACATGTACACCTGCACTTAAAAGTTGAAAATATAAAAAATTTATATGGAATCTCAGCCAGACGTGGTGGCTCACACCTGTAATCCAAGCTCTTTAGAAGGCCGAGGCAGGCAGATCTTGAGGTCAAGAGATGGAGACCATCCTGGCCAACATGGTGAAACCCCGTCTCTACTAAAAATACAAAAATTAACTGGGCATGGTGGCGCATGCCTGTACTCCCAGCTACTTGGAAGGCTGAGGCAGGAGAATCGCTTGAACCCAGGAGGCGAATGTTGCAGTGAGCCGAGATCGCACCACTGCAATCCAGCCTGAGTGACAGAGCCAGACTCCATCTCAAAAAATTCAACCCAGAATTTTACATCCAGCCAAACTACCCTTCATAAGCAAAGGAGAAATAAAATCTTTTACAGACAAGCAAATGCTGTGGAATTTTGTCACCACCAGGCCTGCCTGGCAAGAGCTCCTGAAGGAAGCACTAAACATGGAAATGAAAAACCGGTACAAGCAACTGCAAAAACATAACAAATTGTAAAGACTATCGACACTATGAAGAAACTGCTTCAACTAATGGGCAAAATAACCACCTAGCATCATAATGAGAGGATCAAATTCACACATAACAATATTAACCTTAAGTGTAAACAGGCTAAATGCCCCAATTAAAAGACACAGACTGACAAATTGAATAAAAGTCAAGACCCATCAGTGTGCTGTATCCAGGAGACCCATCTCACATGCAAAGACACACGTAGGCTCAAAATAAAGGGATGGAAAAATATATACCAAGCAAATGGAAAGCAAAAAGAAGCAGGGGTTGCAATTCTAGTCTCTTATCAAATAGACTTTAAACCAACAAAGATCAAAAGAGACAAAGAACGGCATTACATAACGGTAAAGGGATCATGAAACAAGAAGAGCCAACTATCCCAAATATATATGCACCCAATAAAGAGCAACCAGATTCATAAAGCAAGTTCTTAGAGACATACAAATAGACTTAGACTCCCACACAATAATAGTGGGAGAATTTAACACCCCACTGTCATTATTAGACAGATCAACAAGACAAAATTAAAAAGAATATTCAAGACTTGAACTCAGCTCTGGACCAAGTGGACCTAATAGACATCTACAGAACTGTCTACCCCAAATCAACAGAATATACATTTTTCTCAGCACCACATCACACTTACTCTAAAATTGACCACATAATTGGAAGTAAAACACTTCTCAGCAGAAGCAAAAGAACAGAAATCATAACAAACAGTCTCTCAGACCACAGTGCAATCAAATTAGAACTCAGGATTAAGAAACTCATGCAAAATCACACAACTATATAGAAACTGAACAACCTGCTCCTGAATGACTACTAGGTAAATAACGAAATTAAGGCAGAAATAAATAAGTTCTTTGAAATTAATGAGAAGAAAGACACAAAGTACCAGAATCTCTGGGACACACCTAAGACATTGTTTAGACGGAAATTTATAGAACTAAATGCCTGCAAGAGAAAGCAGAAAATATCTAAAATCGACACTCTAACATCACAATTAAAAGAACTAGATAAGCAACACAAACAAATTCAAAAACTAGCAGAAGACAAGGAATAACTAAGATCAGAGCAGAACTGAAAAATATAGAGAAATGAAAACCCCTTCAAAAAAATCAATGAATCCGGGGGCTGGTTTTTTCAAAAGATCAACAAAATAGACTTCTAGACAGGCTAATAAAGAAGAAAAGAGAGAAGAATCAAATATATACAATAAAAAAAGATAAAGGGGATATTGCCACTGATCCCACAGAAATAAAAACTACCATAAGAGAATACTATAAACACTTCTACACAAATAAACTAGAAAATCTAGAAGAAATTGATAAATTCCTGGAAACATACACCCTCCTAAGTCTAAACCAGGAGGAAGTCGAATCTCTGAATAGACCAATAACAAGTAGTGAAATTGAGGAAGTAATTAATAGCTTACCAACCAAAAAAGTCCAGGACCAGACAAAGTCACAACCAGATTCTATCAGAGGTACAAAGAGGAGCTGGTACCATTCATTCTGAAACTATTCCAAACAATAGAAAAAGAGGGAATCCTCCCTAACTCATTTTATGAGGCTGGCATCATCCTGATACCAAAACCTGGCAGAGACACAACAAAAAAAGGAAATTACAGGCCAATATCCCTGATGGACATCAATGCGAAAATCCTCAATAAAATACTGGAAAACCAAATCCAGAAGCATATCAAAAAGCTTATCCACCACGATCAAGTCTGCTTCATCCCTGGGATGCAACGCTGGTTCAACATATGCAAATCAATAAACGTAATCCACCACATAAACAGAACCAATGACAAAAATCACATGATTATCTCAATAGATGCAGAAAAGGCCTTCAACAAAATTCAACACCCCTTCATGCTAAAAACTCTGAATAAACTAGGTATTAATGGAACATATCTCAGAATAATAGGAGATATTTATGACCACCCCACAGCCAGCATCATACTGAATGGGCACAAACTGGAAGCATTCCCTTTGAAAACTGGCACAAGACAATAATGCACTCTCTCACCACTCTTATTCAACATAACACTGAAAGTACTGGCCAGCGCAGTCAGGCAAGAGAAAGAAATAAAGAGTATTCAGATAGAAAGAGAATAAGTCAAATTGTCTCTGTTTGCAGATGACATGATTGTATATTTAGAAAACCCCATTGTCTCAGCCTCAAAACTCCTTAAGCTAATAAGCAACTTCAGCAAAGTCTCAGGATACAAAATCAGTGTGCAGAAATTATAGGCATTCTTTTTTTGTTCTTTTTTTGAGACAGAGTCACAATCTCGGCTCACTGCAATCTCCACCTCCCAGGTTCAAGCGATTCTCCTGCCCCAGTCTCCTGAGTAACTGGAATTACAGGTGTGTGCCACCAGACCCGGCTAATTTTTGTATTTTTAGTAGAGACGGGGATTCACCATATTAGTCAGGCTGGTCTCAAACTCCTGACCTCGTGATCCACCCACCTCGGCCTCCCAAAGTGCTGGGATTGCAGGCGTAAGCCACCATGCACGTCCTACAAGTGTTCTTATACACCAACAGTAGACAAGCAGAGAGCCCAGTCATGAATGAATTTCCATTCACAATCCCTACAAAGAGAATAAAATATCTAGGAATATAGCTTACAAGGAACGAGAAGGACCTCTTCAAATAACTACAAACCACTGCTCAATGAAATAAGAGGGGACATAAATAAATGGAAAAACATTCCATGCTTGGGAGGAGGAGCCAAGATGGCCGAATAAGAACAGCTCCGGTCTACAGCTCCCAGCGTGAGCGACGCAGAAAACGGGTGATTTCTGCATTTCCATCTGAGGTACCGGGTTCATCTCACTAGGGAGTGCCAGACAGTGGGCGCAGGCCAGTGGGTGCGTGCACCGAGCACGAGCCGAATCAGGGCGAGGCATTGCCTCACTGGGAAGCGCAAGGGGTCAGGGAGTTCCCTTTCCGAGTCAAAGAAAGGGGTGACAGACGCACCTGGAAAATCGGGTCACTCCCACCCTAATATTGCGTTTTTCAGACCGGCTTAAAAAACGGTGCAGCACGAGACTATATCCCACACCTGGCTCGGAGGGTCCTACACCCACGGAATCTCGCTGATTGCTAGCACAGCAGTCTGAGATCAAACTGCAAGGCGGCAGCGAGGCTGGGGGAGGGGCGCCCGCCATTGCCCAGGCTTGCGTAGGTAAACAAAGCAGCCGGGAAGCTCGAACTGGGTGGAGCCCACCACAGCTCAAGGAGGCCTGCCTGCCTCTGTAGGCTCCACCTCTGGGGGCAGGGCACAGATAAACAAAAAGACAGCAGTAACCTCTGCAGACTTAAATGTCCCTTTCTGACAGCTTTGAAGAGAGCAGTGGTTCTCCCAGCACGCAGCTGGAGATCTGACAACGGGCAGACTGCCTCCTCAAGTGGGTCCCTGACCCCTGACCTCCGAGCAGCCTAACTGGGAGGCACCCCCAAGCAGGGGCACACTGACACCTCACACGGCAGGGTATTCCAACAGACCTGCAGCTGAGGGTGCTGTCTGTTAGAAGGAAAACTAACAAACAGAAAGGACATCCACACCAAAAACCCATCTGTACATCACCATCATCAAAGACCAAAAGTAGATAAAACCACAAAGATGGGGAAAAAACAGAACAGAAAAACTGGAAACTCTAAAACGCAGAGCACCTCTCCTCCTCCAAAGGAACGCAGTTCCTCACCAGCAACGGAACAAAGCTGGATGGAGAATGACTTTGACGAGCTGAGAGAAGAAGGCTTCAGACGATCAAATTACTCTGACCTACGGGAGGACATTCAAACCAAAGGCAAAGAAGTTGAAAACTTTGAAAAAAATTTAGAAGAATGTATAACTAGAATAACCAATACAGAGAAGTGCTTAAAGGAGCTGATGGAGCTGAAAACCAAGGCTCGAGAACTACGTGAAGAATGCAGAAGCCTCAGGAGCCGATGTGATCAACTGGAAGAAAGGGTATCAGCAATGGAAGATGAAATGAATGAAATGAAGCGAGAAGGGAAGGTTAGAGAAAAAAGAATAAAAAGAAATGAGCAAAGCCTCCAAGAAATATGGGACTATGTGAAAAGACCAAATCTACGTCTGATTGGTGTACCTGAAAGTGATGCGGAGAATGGAACCAAGTTGGAAAACACTCTATAGGATATTATCCAGGAGAACTTCCCCAATCTAGCAAGGCAGGCCAACGTTCAGATTCAGGAAATACAGAGAACGCCACAAAGATACTCCTCAAGAAGAGCAACTCCAAGACACATAATTGTCAGATTCACCAAAGTTGAAATGAAGGAAAAAATGTTAAGGGCAGCCAGAGAGAAAGGTCGGGTTACCCTCAAAGGGAAGCCCATCAGACTAACAGTGGATCTCTCAGCAGAAACCCTACAAGCCAGAAGAGAGTGGGGGCCAGTATTCAACATTCTTAAAGAAAAGAATTTTCAACCCAGAATTTCATATCCAGCCAAAATAAGCTTCATAAGTGAAGGAGAAATAAAATACTTTACAGACAAGCAAATGCTGAGAGATTTTGTCACCACCAGGCCTGCCCTAAAAGAGCTCCTGAAGGAAGCACTAAACATGGAAAGGAACAACCAGTACCAGCCACTGCAAAATCATGCCAAAACGTAAAGACCATCGAGACTAGGAAGAAACTGCATCAACTAATGAGCAAAATCACCAGCTAACATCATAATGACAGGATCAAATTCACACATAACAATATTAACTTTAAATGTAAATGGACTAAACTCTCCAGTTAAAAGACACAGACTGGCAAGTTGGATAAAGAGTCAAGACCCATAAGTGTGCTGTATTCAGGAAACCCATCTCACGTGCAGAGACACACATAGGCTCAAAATAAAAGGATGGAGGAAGATCTACCAAGCAAATGGAAAACAAAAAAAGGCAGGGGTTGCAATCCTAGTCTCTGATAAAACAGACTTTAAACCAACAAAGATCAGAAGAGACAAAGAAGGCCATTACATAATGGTAAAGGGATCAATTCAACAAGAGGAGCTAACTATCCTAAATATATATGCAACCAATACAGGAGCACCCAGATTCATAAAGCAAGTCCTGAGTGACCTACAAAGAGACTTAGACTCCCACACATTAATAATGGGAGACTTTAACACCCCACTGTCAACATTAGACAGATCAATGAGACAGAAAGTCAACAAGGATACCCAGGAATTGAATTCAGCTCTGTACCAAGCGGACCTAATAGACATCTACAGAACTCTCCACCCCAAATCAACAGAATATACATTTTTTTCAGCACCACACCGCACCTATTCCAAAATTGACCACAGAGTTGGAAGTAAAGCTCTCCTCAGCAAATGTAAAAGAACAGAAATTATAACAAACTATCTCTCAGACCACAGTGCAATCAAACTAGAACTCAGGATTAAGAATCTCACTCAAAGCCGCTCAACTACATGGAAACTGAACAACCTGCTCCTGAATGACTACTGGATACATAATGAAATGAAGGCAGAAATAAAGATGTTCATTGAAACCAACGAGAACAAAGACACAACATACCAGAATCTCTGGGACGCATTCAAAGCAGTGTGTAGAGGGAAATTTATAGCACTAAATGCCCACAGGAGAAAGCAGGAAAGATCCAAAATTGACACCCTAACATCACAATTAAAAGAACTACAAAAGCAAGAGCAAACACATTCAAAAGCTAGCAGAAGGCAAGAAATAACTAAAATCAGAGCAGAACTGAAGGAAATAGAGACACAAAAAACCCTTCAAAAAATCAATGAATCCAGGAGCTGGTTTTTTGAAAGGATCAACAAAATTGATAGACTGCTAGCAAGACTAATAAAGAAAAAAAGAGAGAAGAATCAAATAGACACAATAAAAAATGATAAAGGGGATATCACCACTGATCCCACAGAAATACAAACTACCATCAGAGAATACTACAAACACCTCTAGGCAAATAAACAAGAAAATCTAGAAGAAATGGATACATTCCTCGACACATACACTCTCCCAAGACTAAACCAGGAAGAAGTTGAATCTCTGAATAGACCAATAACAGGAGCTGAAATTGGGGCAATAATCAATAGTTTACCAACCAAAAAGAGTCCAGGACCAGATGGATTCACAGCCGAATTCTACCAGAGGTAGAAGGAGGAACTGGTACCATTCCTTCTGAAACTATTCCAATCAATAGAAAAAGAGGGAATCCTCCCTAACTCATTTTATGAGGCCAGCATCATTCTGATACCAAAGCCGGGCAGAGACACAACCAAAAAAGAGAATTTTAGACCAATATCTTTGATGAACATTGATGCAAAAATCCTCAATAAAATACTGGCAAACCGAATCCAGCAGCACATCAAAAAGCTTATCCACCATGATCAAGTGGGCTTCATCCCTGGGATGCAAGGCTGGTTCAATATACGCAAATCAATAAATGTAATCCAGCATATAAACAGAGCCAAAGACAAAAACCACATGATTATCTCAATAGATGCAGAAAAAGCCTTTGACAAAATTCAACAACCCTTCATGCTAAAAACTCAATAAATTAGGTATTGATGGGACGTATTTCAAAATAATAAGAGCTATCTATGACAAACCCACAGCCAATATCATACTGAATGGGCAAAAACTGGAAGCATTCCCTTTGAAAACTGGCACAAGACAGAGATGCCCTCTCTCACCGCTCCTATTCAACATAGTGTTGGAAGTTCTGGCCAGGGCAATCAGGCAGGAGAAGGAAATAAAGGGTATTCAATTAGGAAAAGAGGAAGTCAAATTGTCCCTGTTTGCAGACGACATGATTGTTTATCTAGAAAACCCCATCGTCTCAGCCCAAAATCTCCTTCAGCTGATAAGCAACTTCAGCAAAGTCTCAGGATACAAAATCAATGTACAAAAATCACAAGCATTCTTATACACCAACAACAGACAAACAGAGAGCCAAATCATGAGTGAACTCCCATTCACAATTGCTTCAAAGAGAATAAAATACCTAGGAATCCAACTTACAAGGGATGTGAAGGACCTCTTCAAGGAGAACTACAAACCACTGCTCAAGGAAATAAAAGAGGATACAAACAAATAGAAGAACATTCCATGCTCATGGGTAGGAAGAATCAATATCATGAAAATGGCCATACTGCCCAAGGTAATTTACAGATTCAATGCCATCCCCATCAAGCTACCAATGACTTTCTTCACAGAATTGGAAGAAAACTACTTTAAAGTTCATATGGAACCAAAAAAGAGCCCGCATCGCCAAGTCAATCCTAAGCCAAAAGAACAAAGCTGGAGGCATCACACTACCTGACTTCAAACTATACTACAAGGCTACAGTAACCAAAACAGCATGGTACTGGTACCAAAACAGAGATATAGATCAATGGAACAGAACAGAGCCCTCAGAAATAACGCCGCATACCTACAACTATCTGATCTTTGACAAACCTGAGAAAAACAAGCAATGGGGAAAGGATTCCCTATTTAATAAATGGTGCTGGGAAAACTGGCTAGCCATATGTAGAAAGCTGAAACTGGATCCCTTCCTTACACCTTATACAAAAATCAATTCAAGATGGATTAAAGATTTAAACGTTAGACCTAAAACCATAACAACCCTAGAAGAAAACCTAGGCATTACCATTCAGGACACAGGCATGGGCAAGGACTTCATGTCCAAAACACCAAAGGCAATGGCAACAAAAGCCAAAATTGACAAATGGGATCTAATTAAACTAAAGAGCTTCTGCACAGCAAAAGAAACTACCATCAGAGTGAACAGGCAACCTACAACATGGGAGAAAATTTTCGCAACCTACTCATCTGATAAAGGGCTAATATCCAGAATCTACAATGAACTCAAACAAATTTACAAGAAAAAAACAAACAACCCCATCAAAAAGTGGGCGAAGGACATGAACAGACACTTCTCAAAAGAAGACATTTATGCAGCCAAAAAACACATGAAAAAATTCTCATCATCACTGGCCATCAGAGAAATGCAAATCAAAACCACTATGAGATATCATCTCACACCGGTTAGAATGGTGATCATTAAAAAGTCAGGAAACAACAGGTGCTGGAGAGGATGTGGAGAAATAGGAACACTTTTACACTGTTGGTGGGACTGTAAACTGGTTCAACCATTGTGGAAGTCAGTGTGGCAATTACTCAGGGATCTAGAACTAGAAATACCATTTGACCCAGCCATCCCATTACTGGGTATATACCCAAATGACTATAAATCATGCTGCTATAAAGACACATGCACACGTATGTTTATTGCGGTATTATTCACAATAGCAAAGACTTGGAACCAAGCCAAATGTCCAACAATGATAGACTGGATTCAGAAAATGTGGCACATATACACCATGGAATACTATGCAGCCATAAAAAAGGATGAGTTCATGTCCTTTGTAGGGACATGGATGAAATTGGAAATCATCATTCTCAGTAAACTATCGCAAGAACAAAAAACCAAGCACCGCATATTCTCACTCATAGGTGGGAATTGAACAATGAGATCACATGGACACATGAAGGGGAATATCACACTCTGGGGACTGTGGTGGGGTGGGGGGAGCGGGGAGGGATAGCATTGGGAGATATACCTAAGGCTAGATGACGAGTTAGTGGGTGCAGCGCACCAGCATGGCACATGTATACATATGTAATTAACCTGCACATTGTGCACATGTACCCTAAAACTTAAAGTATAATAAAAAAAAGAAAAAAAAACATTCCATGCTTATGGATAGGAAGAATCAATATCACAATATGTCCATACTGCCCACAGTAATTTATAGATTCAATGCTATTTCCATCAAAGTACCATTGAGTTTCTTCACAGAATTAGAAACAACTACTTTAAATTTTATGTGGAACCAAAAAAGGGCCTGTATATCCAAATCAATATTAAGCAGAAAGAACACAGCTGGAGGCATCATGCTACCTGACTTCAAACTATACTAGGCTACAGTAACCAAAACAGCATGGCATTGGTACCAAAACAGAAATATATACCAATGGGGCAGAACAGAGGCCTCATAAATAACACCACACATCTACAACCATCTGTTCTTTGACAAACCTGATGAAAACAGGCAATAAGGAAAGGGTTCCCTGTTTAACAAATGATGCTGAAAAACTGGCTAGCCATATGCATAAAACTGAAACTAGCCTTGTTCCTTACACCTTATACAAAAATTACCTCAATATGGATTAAAGACTTAAATGTAAAACCCCAAACCATAAAAACCCTAGAAGAAAACCTAGGCAATACCATTCATTACATAGGTATAGGAAAAGGCTTCATGACGAAAACACCAAAAGCAATTGCAACAAAAGCTAAAATTGACAAATGAGATCTAATTAGACTAAAGAGCTTCTGCACAGCAAAATAAACTAGCATCATAGTAAACAGGCAACCTACAGAATGGAAGAAAATGTTTGCAATCTACCCATCTGACACAGGGCTAATATCGAGAATCTACAAGGAATTTAAACAAATTTACAAGAGAAAATCAAACAAACGCATCAAAACGTAGGCAAAGGATATAAACAGGCACTTCTCAAAAGAAGACATTTATGCAGCCAACAAACATACGAAAAAAGCTCATCATCACTGATCATTAGAGAAATGAAAATCAAAACCACAATGAGATACCATCTTACACTAGTCAGAATGGTGATTATTAAAAAGTCAGGAAACAATAGATGCTGGAGAGGCTGTGGAGAAATAGAAACGCTTTTAGACTGTTGGTAGAAATGTAAATTAGTTCAACCATTGTGGAAGACAGTATGGCAGTTCCTCAAGGATCGAGAACCAGAAATACCATTTGACCCAGCAATCTCATTACAGGGTATATACTCAAGGGAATATAAATCTTTCTACTATAAACACACATGCACATATGTATATGGGAGCACTATTTACAATAGCAAAAACATGGAACCAACCCAAATGCCCATCAATGATAGACTGGATAAAGAAAATGTGGTATGTATACACCATGGAATACTATGCAGCCCTGAAAAAGAATGAGATCATGTCCTTTGAAGGGACATGTATGAAGCTGGAAGCCATCATCCTCAGCAAACTAACACAGGAACAAAACACCAAACACTGCATGTTCTCATTCTTAAGTAGGAGTTGAACAATAAGAACACATTGACACTGGGAGAGGAAGAATGCACACCTCGGTCTGTTGTGGGGTGGTGGGGAAGGGGAGGGAAAGCCTTAGGACAAATACCTGAAGCATGTGGGGCTTAAAACCTAGATGATGGGTTGATAGGTGGAGCAAACCACCGTGGCACATTTATACCTATGTAACAAACCTGCACTATCTACACATGTATCCCGGAGTTTAAAGTAATTTTTAAAAAGAAAAAAAATAACATTCTGACACATGCTACAATATGGATTAGCTATGTATAGTATTCAAATTTCATAAAGAGAAAATATAGAATGGTAGTTACCAGGGGCTGGATGAGGGAAATGAGGAGTTACTGTTTAATGGGATCAGAGTTTCAATTTTCAAAAATAAGAAAGCAGTGGTGATGGATAGTGATGATGGTTGCAAAACAATGTAAATGTACTTAATACCAATAAACTGAATATTAAACATGTTTAAAATGGTAAATTTGTCTTTCTGTGCCTGGATTATTTTACTTAACAATGTCCTACAGTTTCATCCATGTTTTTTGTAAATTATAGGATTTCATTTTTATGTGGCTGAATAAATTTCCAGTGTGTACATATACCACAGTTTTATCCATACATTTGCTGATGGACACTTAGATTGAGTTCAAATCTTGGCTATTGTGAATAGTTCTCCAATAAACATAGTAGTGCAGATGTCTCTTCAATATATTGATTTTTTATTTCTTTTGGATATATTCCCACCAGTGAAATTGCTAGGATATATAGTAGTTTTGTTTTTCATTTTTTAAAGGAATCCCCATACTGCTCTCCATAGTTGCTGTACTAATTTACATTTCCCCTGACAGTGTGTGAGTGTTCCCCTGTTTCCATATCTTCACCAGCATCCAGTGTTTCCTTTTTGATATTATCCATTTTAACTGGGGTGACATGATACTTCATAGTAGTTTTGCTTTGCATTTCTCTGATGATGAAAGTTGTTGAGAGTTTTTTCACATACATGTTGGCCATTTGTAAGTGAAATAAGCCAGGCACCGAAAGACACATACTGCATGTTCTCACTTATATGTGAGAGCTAAAAAATAATTTAACTCTTGAAGATACAGTGTAGAATGATGGTCACCAGATGCTGGGAAGGGTAGTGGGGAGGGTAGAATAGAAATGGGATGATAATGAGTACAAAAATACATTTAGACAGAAAAAATAATATCTGGTGTTCAGTACCCCAACAAGGTGACTAGAGTTAACAATAATTTATTGCATATTTCAAAAATATCTGAAAGAGTGAAGCTAAAATGTTTCTAACACAAAAATGCTAAATGCTTGAACTGGTACATATCCCAACTACCTCAATTTGATCATTACACAATGTATGACTGCACCAAAATTTCACATGTACCCCATAAATATGCAGAACTATTAGGTAAGCAGAAAAATTAAAAGTTAAGAAAATTAGTATTAAAGGTAAATCTAAGTAAGTTTATTTTAAAAATGGTGAACTTTATGTTATTTGTACTTTTACAACAATTAAAAAAGATTAAATTTTCTACATTATTCATGTTGGAGTTTTTATTTATTTTATTTTCTATTTCCTTTTTTAAAATTTAACTTTTATTTTAACTTCATGGATACATGTGCAGGTTTGTTATACAGATAAACTTCTGTCATGGCGGTTTGTTTTACAGATTATTTCATCTCCCAGATATTAAGCCATTGGCACATAATAATGTATATATTTATGAGGTACAACATGATGTTTTGATACATGGATACATTATGTAATGATCCAATCAGGTAATTAGCACTTTAAACATGATTTTTTGTGACTAGAACACTCAAAACCGTTTCTTATTTTGAAATATATATTATTGTTAACTCCAGTCATCCTACTGTGCAATAAAACACCAGAATTTATTCCTCCTATCTAACTGTAGCTTTGTATTCCCTGACCTGACCAATCTCTTCCCATCTTTCCCTTTTCCCTCCCTTCCCCAAACTCTGGCAACTACTATTCTACTCTCTATTTCTATGAGAACGATGTTTTAGGTTCCACATGTGAGTGAGATCATGCAGTATTTGCCTTTCTGTATCTAGATTATTTCAGTTAACTTAATGTCCCCTAGGTTCATCCATGTAGTCACAAAAGAAAAAGATTTAATTTTCTAAATGACTGCATAGTACTCATTGTGTATGTACACCACATATTCTTTATTCATTCTTTATAGATTCATTCATCTAAATCAACATTTAGGTTGATTCCATATCTTGGCTACTGTGAAAAATGCTGCAATAAACAGGGGTATAGCTATCTCTTCAACATATTCACTTTATTTCCATTGTATCTATACACAGTACTGGGATTGTTGTATTAGACGGTTTTTATTTTAGCCATTCTGATAGATGTATAGTAATAATTCCTGTGGTTGTATGTTGCATTTCTTTAATGGCTAATGAAGTACTCATATTTTCATATGTACATTTGTCATCTGTATATCTTCTTCAGTAAAATGTCATTACATGTGTTTTGTCCACACTGAGTACTGGGAGTTTTGATATATGCTTTCTTTTAGTGTTTCTCACTTTTTCAAAAACTTTTATTTTAGGTTTAGGGGTACACGTAAAGGTTTGTTACATAGGTGAACATGTATCATGGGGGTTCATTTTACATATTATTTCATCACCCAGGTATTAAGCCCAGTACCCAAGAGTTATCTTTTCTGCTCCTCTGTCTCCTCCCACCCTTCTGGCTCAAGTAGACTCTAGTGTCCGTTGTTTCCTCTTTTGTGTTCATAAGTTCTTATCATTTAGCTCCCATGTATAAGTGAAAACATGTGATATTTGGTTTTCTATTCCTGCATTAGTTTGCTGAGGATAATAGCCTCCAAGTTCATCCATGTTCCCACAAAAGACATGATCTTGTTCTTTTTTTGGCTGCATAATATTCCATAGTGTATATGTATCATATTTTCTTTATCCAGTCTATCATTGATGGGCCTTTAGGGTAATTCCATGTCTTTTTTATTGTGAATAGTGTTGCAATGAACATTTCCATGCATGTGTCTTTATGGTATAAGGATTTATATTCTTCTGGGTATATACCCAGTAATGGATTTGCTGGGTTGAATTGTAGCTCTGCTTTTAGTTCTTTGAGGAATTGCCCTACTGCTTTCCGCAATGGTTGAATTAATTTACACTCACACCAACTGTGTATAAGTGTTCTCTTTTCCCTGCCACCTTACCAGCATTTGTTATTTTTTGACTTTTATGATAGCCACTCTGACTGATGTGAGATAGAATCTCATTGTGGCTTTGACTGGCATTATTCCAATGATTAGTGATATCGAGCTTTTTTTCATATGCTTGTTGGCCACATGTATATCTTCTTTTGAGAAGTGTCTGTTCATGTCCTTTGCCTACTTTTTTAATGGGCTTGTTTATTTTGCTTTTGTAAAATTGTTTAAGTTCCTAATAGATGTGAATACTAGACCTTTGAAAGATGCATAGTTTGCAAATATTTTCTCCTATTCTGTAGGTCGTCTATTTACTCGATAGTTTCTTTTGCTGTGCAGAAGCTCTTAAGTTTAATTAGATCCCACTTGTCAAATTTTGCTTTTGTTTTGATTGCTTTTGGTGTCTTTGTCATGAAATCTTTGCCAAAATGGCCAAAATAGTATTTCCATGGTTTTTATAGTTTGGGTTTTTACATTTAAATCTTTAAACTTGAGTTGATTTTTATGTATTATGGCATAAGAAAAGGATCCAGCTTCAATTTTCTGCCTATGGCTAGCCAGTTATCACAGCATCATTTATCGAATAGGGAGTATTTCCCCCATTGCTTGATTTTCCATACTGTTTAATGTTTTTGAATGTATTCATTTTTGGCTGATATCTTTACTACTTTCTTTGGGTTTGGTTTGCTCTTATTTTTTAGTTCCTTAATGTAGGAACTTGGATTATTGATTTGAAGGCTTTACATTTTTCTTTTTCAATGTACATTTAAATAAATTGTACTATGTATGGGTAAGGAATACAACATGATGTTTTGAGATATATTTATATATGTTTGTGTGTGTGTGTGATTATTATGGTGAAACAAATTAACATGTTCATCGTCTCACAGGTTACCCATTCACCACAATCCAGGGCAATAGTAACAATAAGCTACTCCTTTAGAAAAAAATACTAAATATAATACACTTTTATTAACTATAGCCCCAACGTTGTACACTAGACTTTTAGACTTATTCGTCAAACACATCTGTAACTTTGCATCTTTGTCCTACATCTTCCTATTTTTTCCCTCACTCTGCCCCTGGTAACCACTGTTTAATTCTCTATCTCTGTATATTTGACCTGTTTTCATTTTTAGATTCTGCATATAAGTGAGATCATGCAATAATTTTATTTCTGTGTTTGTTTTCTTTCACTTAGCATTATGTTCTCCAGGTTCATCCATGTTGTGGTATATGACAAGATAGCCTTCTTTTTAAAGGCTGAATAATATTTATATAAATGTGTGTATATACATATATATACACATGTATGTATTTGTATGTTCATATATATATATTTCTTTATCCATTTTTCCATCAATGGACACATACATTGTTTTCATATCTTGACTATTGCAAATAATGCTACAGTGAACATGGGAGTGCAGATATATTTATAATGTGGTTATTTCATTCCTTTGGATATGTGCCTAGGAGAAGGTTTGCTTGTGCATATGGTAATTGTATTTTTAAATTTTTGAAACATTCATACTCTTTTCCATAATAACTACACGAATCTACATTCCCACCAACAGTCCGCAAAGCTTCCATTTTCTCCACACCCTCACCAACATTTGCTCTCTTGTCTTTTTGATAATAGCCATTCTAATGGGTGTGAGGTGATGTCTTATAGTGCTTTTCACTTGCTTTCCATGATGATTAGTGATGTTGAATATCTTTTTATATAACTGTTGACCACGTTTATGTATTCTTCGGTGAAATATCTATTCAGATATATATTTTTTTCTTTTTTAAATCAGGTGATGTGTTTTCTTGTTTTTGAGTGGTGTGAGTTCTTTATAAATTTTGCATATTAACCCCTTATCAGATAATGATTTGAATTTTTTTTTTACCCACATGTAGGTTTTCTTTAAAAAAAATAAATTTTATTGTGTATATTTGAAGCTTTAATATGATGTTATGGAATAAACATAGATAGTAATGTGGTTACTATAGTGAAAGAGATAAACATATTTATCATCTCAAATAGTTACTTTTTGTGACAAGAACAGGTAAAATCTACTTATTTAACAAAAATTACTAATTAACAATACAATACAAATACTAATACAATTATATTAACTATAATCCTCCTGTTGTACATTAGAACTCTAGACTTGTTCAGCCTTTAGAATGGAGATTCCACTATTTGCCAAACATGGATAAACCTTGAGGACATTATAGTAAGTCCAAATAAGCCAAACACAGAAAGAATAATATTTTATAATTTCACTTATATGTGCAATAAAAATAAGTCAAATATACTAAGATAAAGAATAAAACAGTGGTTACCAGAGGTAGAGGTGGTGGGAGAAAATGGGAAGTTATAGGTCAAAGGGTGAAACATAGATTGCCTTTTCATTTTATTGATTGTTTCTTTTGCTATGTAGAAGCTTTTTAGTTTCATGTAGTCCTATTTATTAATTTATTTTTTGCATGTGTAGCCTGAGCTTTTGGTGTGATATCCAGGAAATCATTGCCAAGGCCAATTTCAATGAGCTTTTCCTCTATGTTTTCTTTTAGGAGTTTTATGGTTTCAGGTCTTATATTTAGGTCTTTTATCCATTTTGAGTTGATAGTTGTGAATGGCCTAAGAGTCCAATATTATTCTTTTGCACGTCAGAATTCAATTCTCCCAACACTATTTATTGAAGAGACTACAGTATTTCCATTGTCTTTCAGGTTTCTTTGTCAAAAATTAGTTAACTGTATGTATTTGGCTTTATTTCTGTGCTCTCTATTCTGTTCCACTGGCCTATGTGTTCGTTTTTATGCCAGATTCCTACGGTTTGAATTACTTTAACTTTGTAATATAATTTCAAGTAAGAAAACTTCGGGCCCGTTTTTTTTTTAACCTCATAATTGCTTTGGCTATTCAGGGTCTTTGATGGTCCCAAAGGAATTTTACAAACAAAGGCATTTGTGTGAAGAATGCCATTGGGATATTGATAGAAATCGCATTGTATCTATACGTTCATTTGGGTAGTACGGGTTGAGTAACTCTAATATGTAAATCCCAAATAAAAATTCTCTAAAATCTTAAACATTTTGAGCACTGATATGACCTAACAAGTAGCACATTTTACAACTGACCTTATGTCATGTGTCACAGTAAAAATGTAATCAAAACTTTGTTTTCTGCAGTTATTGAAAATATTATGACATTAATTTCAAGCTATTTGTATAAAATGTATATAAAAGATAAATAAATTTTGTCTTTAGAATTGTGTCCCATCCTCAAGATATTTTATTAGGTATGTGTAAATATTCTAAAATTCAAAAAATCCGAAAATCAAAATTTTTTACTCTCAAGAATTTCAGGAAAGGGATATTCAACATATGTAGACACTTTAATTCTAATTATTCCAATCTGTGACATAAAATATGTTTCCATTATTTGTGTCCTCTTTAATTACTTTCATTAACACTTTATAGTTTTTAGTGCACAACTCTTTCACTTCCTTAGATAAATTTATTCCTAAGTATATTTTTGATGCAATTGTAAGTCAAATTGTTTTCTTGATTTCCTTTTTGGGTAGGTCATTGGTTATATATAAAAATACCATGAATTTTTGTATGTGGAGTTTGTATCCCACAACTTTACAAAATCATTTATTAGTTATAATAGGTTTTCTGTTTGAATGTGTTGGGTTTTATCCATATAGAATTATGTTATCTGCGAATGGAGATAATTTTACTTCTTTCTTTCCAATTTTCATACATACTATGTCTTCTTGTTGTTTGATTGTTCTTGATAGTACTTCTAGTATTATGTTGACTAGAAGGGGAGAAAGCTAATTCATATGAGATTTTAGAGAAAAAACTTTCCATTTCTTCTCATTAATTATGATGTTAGCTGTGTAATTTTCATAAATGGTGTTTGTTATTTTGAGGAATACTTCCACACTTAAACGGTTGACAGTATTTATCAGAAAGAATTTTGAACGTTGTTGAATATGTTTTCTGTATCAATTGGGATTGTCATGTGGTTTTTGTTTTCTCTTTTTTCTTTTTTTAACTTTTATTTTAAGATCAGGGGTACATGTGGAGGTTTGTTATATAGGTAAACATGTGCCGTGGGGGTTTTTTGTATAGATTATTTCATCACCCCTGTACTAAGCATAGTATCTTATAGTTATTTTTTCTGATCTTCTCCCTTCTCTCACCCTTTTCCCTCAAATAGGCCCAAGTGTCTGTTGTTCTTCTCTTTGTGCTCACTGGTTCTCATTATTTAGCTCCCACTTACAAGTGAGAACATGCAATATTTTGTTTACTGTTTCTGCATTAGCTCACTAATGATAATGGCCTCCAGCTCCATTTACATTGCTGCAAAAGACATAATCCCATTCTTCTTTATGGCTGCATAGTATTTCATGGTCTACATGTAGCACATTTTTAAAATTCAATCTACTGTTCATGGGCATTTAGGTTGAATCCATGTCTTTGCTATTGTGAATAGTGCTGTGATCAACATATGCACATGCAATTGAGCGCACATGCATGCATGTGTGTTTATGGTAGAACAATTAATATTCCTTTAGGCTTATACGCAGCAATGGGATTTCTAGATCAAATTGTAGTTCTGTTCTTAGTTCTTTGAGAAATTACCTCACTACTTTTCACAATGGTTGAACTAATTTACACCGCCACCAGCAGTGTATAAGCATTTCATTTTCTCTGCAACCTTGCCAGCTGTTAATTTTTTGATAATGATAGCCATTCTGACTGATGTGAGATAGTATGTCATTCTGGTCTATCAATCTTATTTATTCACTGAAAATAAGCAACTTTTGGTTTCATTGACCTTTTCTATGTTTTTGATCTAAATTTCATACATTTCAGCTCTGATTTTGGTTATTTTCTTTCTTCTGCTGGCTTTGGGTTTGGTGTATTCTTGTTTTCCTAGTTCCTTTCTGTTTGATGTTAGGTTGTTATTTTGAGATCTTTCTTTCTATAATTTTAATGTGGGTGTTTACTGCTATAAACTTTCTTCTTAACACTGCTTTAGCTGTGTCTCAGAGATTCTGGTATGCTGTATCTTTGCTTTCATTAATTTCAAAGAATTTCCTGATGTCTGCCTTAATTTCATTATTTATTCCAAAATCATTCAGGAGCAGATTGCTAATTTCTATGTAATTATATGGTTTTTAGCTATCTTCATAGTATTGATTTCTATCTTTATTGTGCTGTGGTCTGTGAATGTGGTTTGTATGATTTGGGTATTTTTAAAGAGAGTATGGTTTGTATGATTTGGGTATATTTAAATTGTTTTATGGATGATTATGTGGTCGATTTTAGAGTATGTACCATATGCAGATGAGAAGAATGTGTGTTCTCTTGTGGTGTGGTGAACTGTTCCATAGATGTCTGTTAGGTCCATTTGTTCAAGCATCAAGTTTAGGTCCCAAGTATCTTTGTTAGTTTTCTCCTTTGATGATGTGTATAAGACTGTCATTGATGTGTTGAAGTCTCCCACTATTATTGTGTGGTTACCTAAGTCCTGTTGTAGGTCTCTATGAACTTATTTTATAAATCTGAGTGCTTTAATATTGGGTGCATAGATATATTGGATGATGAAGTCCTCTTGTTTAATTGAATCCTTTATCATTATATACTGCCCTTTTTAGTCTTTTTTGATCATTGTTGGCTTAAAGTCTTTTTTTTTTTGTCTGAAATGAGAATAGCAACCACTGCTGTTTTATAATTTCCATATGTTTGATGGCTCTTTCCCAATCTTTTTACTTTTTGTTTTCTGTCTGTTCATTTCTTTTTATTTTATTTTTTGGCTTATAAAGCTTAGTTTGGCTGAATATAAAATTATTGGTTGGCATTTATTTCTTTAAGAATGCTGAATGTAGATCCCCAATTGTTTCTGGCATGTAAGGTTTATGATGAATGATCTGCTGTTAACTTGATTGGTGTCCCTTTGTTCATGGCCTTCCCCTTCTGTCTAGCTGACTTTAATATTTTTTCTTCAATATTGACTTTTGAGGATCCAATGACTATGTGTCTTGGTGATGTATAGTATCGAAAAGGGGTTTTCTACATTTTCTGAAATTGAATGTCATCCTCTTTAGCAAGGTTGGGAAAAATTTTGTGGTCAATATCCTCAGATATGTTTTCCAAGTTGGTTGCTCTTTTTCCCCTCTCTTTCAGGGATTCTGATGAGTCTTAAGTTTGACATCATTATGTAATATTATATTTCTCAGAGTCTTGGTTTATTCATTTTTGTTATTTTTTCTTAATTTGGTATCTGACTGAGTAGTTTTGAACAACTGGTTTTAAAACTCAAAAATTATTTCTTCAGCTTGGTGTATCCTGCTGTTAATACTTTCAGTTGTATTGAGAAATTTTTGTAGTGAGTTTGCTAGCTCTATCATATCTATTTGGTTGTTTCTTAAATTTGCTATTTTGTCTTTCAGCATTTATATTATTTTATTGAATTCCTTAGATTTCTTGGATTGCAGTTTGACTTTCTTTGAATCTCGATGATCATTGTTACTCTCCATATTTTGTAATCTATGTCTGTCATTTTAGCCATTTCAGCCTGGTTAAGAACCATCGATGGGAAGTAGCACAGTTTTTTGGAGTTAAGAAGACACTCTGGCTTTTTGAGTTGCCAGTCTTCTTGTATTGTTTCTCTTTCTTCAGTGTGGGCTGATGTTCCTTTAATCTTTGAAGTTGCTGTCATTTGGATGGGGTTTTTGCTTTCATATTCTATGATGCCCTTGACGGTTTGACTGTGGTATAAGGTGGGTCAACTGGCTTTGTTTCTGGGAGATTTCAAGGGGACAAGTCTCAGCTCAGCACTCCTAGGCTGCATGCTCTCATCTTGGGGTCTGGTACCAGGTCCACAGCTTTGTTCTATGGCCCTTTGATGTTAAATATCATCTGTGCTAGAGGGTCTGAGGTGTTCCTGACCACTGGTAGCAACACGTAGCTGTATAGTGCCAGCCAAAATGTTTTATTGGGGCAGCAGCAGCAGGGTCAACATGTGCACTTGTGTGCCAGCAGTGGCATTGGCATTGCAGGGTTTATGTGTGTCAGTGGGGACAGTTCTCTGGTAGGGCCAGGGCAGTGGGATGTGTCTGCACTGGCAGGGTTGGGAAGGCAGCATCATTGCACACATCCTGACAGTGACAATGACATGGCATTGAGATGTGTGTATTTACCAGCTTGGATGAGACAGTGAGTCCTATCCTTGTGAATCAGTAAAGGAGTTTGGGGAGGCTGCAGTGGCAGGAGGCTGTGCATGGGTGGGGGTTTGCCAGTGGAAGCCCATCTGCTGAAGCTCCACGATGGTTAGGCATGATTTACCAGCAAAAGAGGTATGGCAGTGGCTGCCAGGAGGCAGTCTAATTGGGCATCATAGGCTGCAATACAAGTCGGTGTGGACAGACAAAAATACCTCTAGAGATCAGCAGACAGGGGCACACAGATCAAACTGGTCTCATCCCCTGGGCAGGACTACGCTGCTCTGTCCAGGTTTAGAAGTCAACAAAGTTAAAAGCCACCTAGAGTAGCATCGTTAGCCTTGGGAGATAAGCATCCTTGTCTGTGCTCCACTGAAGCCATTCCTGCACCAAACCCTCTGGGCTCTGTGCAGGCTAGTGTCCTGTCCCTGCCACCACTCCAAACATCTCCCTCTCTCTCTTTCTTTTTCTCTCTCTTCCTCTCTCTCTCTCTGCCAGCTCCAATGTCTGTGGGGGTCATGTGGTCTCCTGGCACCAGGGTTCCAGAATTATATGATGAGAGTGGACCACTTTGAGATGTTTTTACCGGCTGCCTCTAGTCAATCATCCTCTTACAATTATTTTTATATTAACTTAGTTTATATTTGATTAGACACCAAAAAACTTTGAAATTTTACATTTAACATGAAATAATTTAAAAAGTCTTGAAACCTTGAATTTTAAAATTGAGACAAAATATCTTTCAAATATAAATCATAAGATGCTAAATCTCAATCAATTTAGTACCAGATAATGACAAAAATGCTATCTTCTGAAATTTGTATTTTGTGTGGTAATTTGAATTTAAGATTTCTCATCAAGCAGGCAGTGTAGTACGGTCAAGAAAATGTTTGTTGTGTAGTCAGGTCCACTTAAGTTTAGAACGAATATTTTTCATTTGAAAGGAAAGCATATTAATTTGCTATATTGGGTATTCATGTCTTCTTTTACCTCTAATTTAAATAAAATTACCTTGTTATCCTCATATTTCATCCAATACTTTTGCTTCTTAACCCTTAAAGTAATATTCATTGATTCAAATTTGTGCTTACTGATTCTCTTTCTCCTCCATAAGAGCTGAGATCTTATTTGTTTGTTTAATGCCACATCTTTAGTGCCTAATATATACTGCTGCTCAATAAATATTTGCATAAATAAATGATTTAGTTTTTCAAATAATTATTTAATGTGACTTCTTTTTAAAAAAAAAGGATTATAAGAGAATGGGAGTCTTTGTAGACATAGGGATGCAAGCATTAAATATGATACCAAGTATGATACCAGTGGAAAAGGTGGCATCATCAGTAGGTAGAGAGAAGTTCCTCAAATAGTATATATCCCTAAAATGTAGGATAAAATTTAAGAAGCATCACTTTCTAAAACCAAACTTGTTCAGAATCAACACAGAAATAATGAAATTATTTTAGCAAATAATATAATTCAAAATACTTATGCAATTAAAGTGATAGAAGCAACTACCCTACAGTTCAATTAAATGTAAGATACAGGATAACACTGGATTGTTGTAACATGCTAATGAGCCACTGAAACAGATAGAGTTTCTCATGGAATTTAGCAAATGAGAAAATTAGAAAATAAAATTTGTCAGCATTGGGTAAGAATGGAAAGATGTTAGGGCATCTGGTGAATGCAAGTGTTTAAGTGACTAAAAAGAGACACTGTATATACTGGAGCAAGCACTACCATAGCTTAGGAGAACATTTATCAAACAAGTTGGAATTTCTTTTGTCTGTACTTAGCTAGCACATTTTTGTTCATTGATTTATTTTACCTCATACTTTGTTATGTGGGTAGGTTGCCTTAAAAAGAAAATACAAGTGTTTCTCCTGGTTAAAATGAATAAACAGTATTTCTATTGTATCTATACTTATGATTTATGATTTTGACATAAATAAGTTCATAATAATTTCATTACCTCTTTCAGGCCATTAAAACCAAATATTTGAACTAGAAAAACTTTGGACTAGGTTTTGATGACACTACCATTGCTCTCCCATGAAACTCAGCTTGAAATAGCCAAGTTGAATTTAATAATAACAGTACAATAGTGTACTCCTAAATAGAATGAGACATCATGAGGACACTAGGCACATAGAATAGAATATAAAATAATAAGAAAAAAGAGGAGTTTTAGACATAACCTTGAAGAATTGCCATGTTTAATGGATTATCAGAACATTAAAAATATATAAAGGACACTGATAAGTGTCTAGGTACATAGAAAAAATAAAAAAGGGGAAATACTAGAAAAATAAGTGTAAATATTCAAAAGAAAAGACTAGATCAGGGAGAAGGTCTTCACTTGTACTGAATGCTGCTGAGAGTTCAAATAAGATAAAGATAGAAAAATGTTGGCAGCTTTTTTAAGTGCAGAGTTGACATTGATAGGAAGGATTGATAAGAGTGTGATAGGTGAGGAAATAACCAGAATAAAAAACTCTTTCTCTTTTTCCTTATTGTTAATTTGATTTTAATTGCTTGAGTAATGGATGAGTGTATTCACTGTAACTTAATCCCATACTAGTACTTCATTCTGCTTCATTTACTGTTTACAGTAGAATACATTAACTATAAGTTCCTTATTGTTCAAATAATTTATTCTGTAAATGGTGAGATTAATGATTTCTTCTATGTCTAAAGATATCTTTAGATTGTCTTTATGGTTTAATGAGTTACTCTTGGCTGAAGTTTTTATTTTATAAATGACTAATTTTAGATTAAATCTGATTATTTTCCTTTTAGATATAGGGACCTTTACATGAAGATACAGATTGCTTGAGTAAAAGCCCAAACAAGTTTTAAAAATTGCCTCCCATTCTCACAAGATTAGTGGAAAAGAAAGGTGAGAGTAACTAGCTACAGAAAAAAAGAAAAGTTCATAGTTTCTCATCACTCCAGGAAGGTTACAAAATAAGCTGACACTGGAAAAGAGCCACAAGCTGTCAATTGAGGCAAGTTGGTACCAAGAGCAGCCACACAGGCTGGATGAGTGTACAGTTACCTTAGACCATTTTAGAGAGAGTATAATATCAGGCTCTACTTTTAAAAAGTCCAGCTAATTTTAGTTATTATTCTTACTAGAATAAAGTACTAAAGTACTAAAGTAAAATACTTTACTAGAATAAAGTAGTGAGGCACATAAATTTCATATTAAAAAATGAGCAGAGACATGTGAGAGTTTCAGAAAAAGTAATTCAAATGCACTCAACCATTAGCACTGTAAGAGGAATGCAAGTAAAAAGTACACTAGGAGACTATTTCTTACTTATTAGATTGGAAAAAATACAAGTTTGACAATATACTCTGTTGACACATCTCTAGGGAAAAAGGATTTTTTATACAATACTACTGAGAACACAAAATTACACAAATTCTAAGAGAATAATTTAGCAATGTTTATCAAAATTAAAGATGCATAGGCGGTGGAGCAAGATGGGCATTGAAGAAAGTATGAAAGGCAGTCTTGAATTGCTGACACCACCCCTCCCCTTCCCCCTGACAACTGCCATGTGGCACAGAAAACAAAGCCATGTTGGGCTCAGCTGGAACACACCCAGGAAGAAAGCATTTGGACCAGCCATGGCCAGAGAAGAAAAGCAGTTATTATACAAAAAAAAAAAAAATACTTGCACACATATGTTTATAGCAGCACAATAGCACAATTCACAATTGCAAAAATATGGAACCAACCCAAATGCCTATCAGTCAACAGGTGGATGAAGAAATTGGGATATCTATGTAGATAGATGACAGATAGATAGATAGATAGATAGATAGATAGATAGATAGATAGAGATAGAGATATAAATGATGAAATACTACTCAGCCATAAAAAAGGAAGTAATTAATGGCATTCACAGCAACCTGGATGGAACTAGAGATTATTATTCTAAGTGAAGTAACTCAGGAATGGAAAACCAAACATTGAATCTTCTCACCCATAAGTGGGAGCTAAGCTATGAGGATGCAAAGGCAGTAAGAATGATATAATGGACTCTGGGGACTTGGGGGAAAAGGTGGGAGAGGGGTGAGCGATAAAAGACTACAAGCTGGGTTCAGTGTATACTGCTCAGGTGATGGCTGCACCAAAATCTAACAAATCATCACTAAAGAACTTACTCATGGGACCAAATTCCACCTGTTCCCCCAAAACCTATGAAAATAAATAATACTACTAATAATATAATAATAATAGTATCAGTAAAAAAAAGAAAAAGGAGAAATACATTTTAAAAGTGTAAAAATTCAAGAGAAAAGTCTAGATCAGAGAGGGGTTCATCAATTGTACTGAATGCTGCTGAGAAGTCAAATAAGATAAAGAAAGTTCCAACCCTGCAGTTGGAACTTGAGTTTTGGCAAGTCTCGCCACCATGACCTGATGTGCTCTGAGGTCCAAGGTAAACTTGAAAAACAGTCTAAGACACAAGGACTGCAATTCCTAGGCAATTTCTAGTGCTCGGATGGGCTTAGACCCAGTAGATTAGCTGGCATGTGACTTAGGGAGACACCAGTCAAGGGGCTAAGGGAGTGCTTAAGCCATTCCTCCCACTCCACCGACTACAGGAAAAGCAGATAATAACAAAAGTGACTCCTTTCTTCTTGAAGAGAGGAGAGCAAAGAGTAAAGAATACTTGTTTTTAATCTTGAATAGAAGCTCAGCCACAATAAGATAGGGTGACAGGCAGAGCCATGAGGATCCCATTCCAGATCCTAGCTCCCAGACATTTCTAGACACTCGGTGGTCCAGAAGGGAATGCACTTTCTTAAATGAAAGAACCCAGTCTGGCAGAATTTATCATCTGCTGACTAAAGAGTCCTTGGGCCCTGAATAACCAACAGCAATACCCAGGTAGTATGCCTTGGGCCTTGGGTGAGACTTTCATATGTGCTGGCTTTAGGTGTGACCCAGCGCTTTCCCAGCTGTGGTGGCTAGAGTGAAAAAGTTCTGCTTGAGAAAAGCAGAGAGAAAGGTAAAGGGGACTTTGACTCCTTAGGTACCAACTCAACCACAGTGGGTTAGAGCATCAAGTGGGCATTTGGGGTCTCTGAGTCCAGGTCTAGGCTCTTGGACAGCATGTTGGACCCACCCTGAGCCAGAGGGAAGCCCATTGCTTTTAAGAGTTGTACCAGGCCTGGCAGCCTTCACCACAAGCTGACTGAAGAGTCATTGGGTTTTAAGTGAACATCAGTGGTGGACTGGAAAATACCTCATTGTCCTGTGGTTCTGGTGGCCATCAGGAAACACTCCTCTGCCTGTAAAAAGTGGAGAGACAAGTGAGAAGGAGTTTGCCTCATGGTTTGAGGGCCAGCTTAGCCACAATAAAATAAATCATCAGGAAGATTTCAAAGGTTTTTGACTCCAATCTTTGGCTCCCAGATAGCATCTCTGGATCTTCCTGGAGCCTGGGGGACTTCACCATCCTGAAAAGAAGAGCACAAATCTGGCTAGTTACCCCATCTACTTATTGTAGAGTCCTAGGGTTTTGAGGGAACATAGGTCATAACCAAGTAGTGTTTATAGCGGGCCTTGGGCAAGACCCAGTGCTGTGCTGGCTTCAGGTCTGATGCAGCACAGTCCCAGTGGTGGTGGCCACAGGAATGTTTGTATCACTTCACCCTTAGCTCCAGGTGGCTCAACACACAGAGAGATAATCTGTTTTGGAGAAAGTAAGGGAAAGAAACAAGAGTGCAGTTCTGGCAATTCAGTTTCAAAGATCTTACTGTAGACTACCAAGGTGGTACCTTTATGAGTCTACAAGAACCACAACTTTATTGCACTTTGGGCCCAAGTCCTTTAAAATACCTGGAAAGCCTTCTCAAGTAAGGCAGACACAAGCAAACTCAGACTGTGAAGACTAAAGTAAATATCTAACTATTTAAAGCCTAGAAATGAACGAACACCCACTGGCATTAAGACCATCCAGGAAAACATGACTTCACCAAATAAACTAAACAAGGCAGTAGGAACCAATAGTGAAGAAACAGAAATACGTGACCTTTCAAACATGGAAATCAAAACAGTTGTTTTGAGGAAACTCACAGAAATTCAACATAACACAGAGAAGGAATTAAAAATTCTATCAGATAAATTTAATAAAGAGATTGAAATAATTAAAAAGAACCAAGCAGAAATTCCAGAGTTGAAAAATGCAATTGACATACTGAAGAATGCATCAGTCTATTTTATAAGCAGAATTAATCTAGTAAAATAAAGGATTAGTGAGTTGAAGGCAGGCTATTTGAAAATAAACAGTCAGGGAGACAAAATAAGAATAAAAATAATGAAGCATGCTGACAAAGTCTAGAAAATAGCCTCATAAGGGCAAATCTAAGAGTTATTGGCCTTAAACAAGAGATACAGAAAAAATGGGGTAGAAAATATATTCAAGGAAATAATATCAGAGAATATCACAAACCTGGAGAAATATATCAACATTCAGGTACAAGAAAGTTATAGAACAAAAAGAACGCTAACACAAAGCATATAATAATCAAACTTTCAAAAGTCAAAGATAAAGAAAAGATCCTAAATGCAGCAAGAATAAAAAAAAATAATAATAACATACAATGGAGACCCAGGACATTTGGCAGCAAACATAGTGGAAACCTTACAGGTCAGGAGAGAGTGACATGACATATTTAAAGTGCTGAAGAAAAAATTAAAAAAAAAATTTACCCTAGAATAGTACATTTAGCAAAAATATTCTTCAAGAATAAAATAGAAATAAAAACTTTTCCAGACAAACTAAAGCTGAGAGATTTTATAAACACCAGATTTATCCTAATGCTAAAGAGAGTTCTTCAATCTGAACAAAAAGGATGTTAATGTGCATTAAGAAATCATTTGAGGTTACAAAACTCACTGGTAATACTAAGTACTCACAAAAGTACAGAAAATCATAGCACTGTAATTGTGGTGTGTGAACTACCTTTAAACAGAAAATCTAAATGATGAACTAAACAAAGCTAATTACAATAACTTTTCAAGACATAGAACAATAAGACATAAAGAGAAACAACAAAATGTTAAAGAAGAGGGCACGAAGATAAAGTGTAGCTTCTATTTGTTTTCTTTTTGTTTGTTTGTTTAGGCAAATAGTATTAAGTTGTCAACAGATTAAAATAACGAACTATAAAATTGTATTTGCAAGCCTCATGGTAACTTCAAATGGAAAAACATATATCAGATTCACAAAAAATAGAAAGCAATAAATTAAATAATACCACTACAGGAAATCACCTTTGCTAAAAGTAAAACAATAAGGAAATAGAGAAGAAAGAGGTTACATAACAAACAAAAAATAACAAAATGGCAGGAATAAGTCTTTATCAATAATAACATTGTATGTAAATGCATTAAATGTAAATGTACTACACTCTCCAATCAAAAGACATAAAGTGACTGAATGGATAAACAAGCAAGGCCCAATTATCTGTTGACTACAAGAATCATACTACACCTATAACGATACACACAGACAGAAAATAAAGTGATGGAAAATATTATTCCATGCCAGTAGAAACCAGAAAAGTGCAGGAGTAGATATATCTATATTAGACAAGATAGATTTCCAGATGAAAAATTATAAGAAGAGACAAAAAAATGGTCACTATATAAGAAAAAGGAATCAATTCAGCAAGACAAAAATTAACAAACATAAATATATACACATCCAATGCTGGAGCATCCAAATATATAAAGCAAATATTATTATAGCCAAAGAGAGAGACAGGCCCCAATACAATAATAACTGGAGATTTCAACGTCTCACTCTTCTCACTGGACAGATCTTCTAGACGGAAAATCAACCAAGAAATTTCAGACTTAATCTGCACTATAGAAAAAAAAATAAACCTAATAGATACTTACAGAAAATTTTCTCCAATGGCAAAAACACATTTTTCTTTTCAGCACATAAATAATTCTCAAGGATATATTATACTTAGGTGAAAAAGCAAGTCTTCAAGCATTCAAAAATTGAAATAATATCAAACATCTTCTATGACTACAATGAAATCTAGAAATCAATAACAAGAGAAATTTTGGGAACTATAAAAACACATAAAAATTAAACAATACACTTCTGAATGACCAGTGGGTCAATTAAGAAATTTTAAAAATTAAAAAATGTCTTGAAACAAATAATAAATGCAAGACAACACATTAAAACATATGGGACACAGTAAAAGCAGTACTCAGAGGGAAATTTATAGCCATAAGGGCCTACAGCAAAAAAGACGAAAAACTTCAAATAACCTAATGATGCATTTTAAAGTACTAGAAAAGCCAGAGCAAATCAAACGCAAAATCAGTCCTAGCTAGAGAAATCAGACAAGAGAAAAAAATTGAGGGCATCCTAATTTGAAGGGAAGAAGTCAATTATCTCTTTACAGATGATATGGTCTTATATTTGGAAACACCTAAATATTACACCAAAAATCTGTTAGAACTTGTAAACAAATCTGGCAAAGTTGCAAGATACAAAATCAGCATACAGAAATCAATAACTTTTTGTTTTTTTTTTTTTAGAGATGGAGTCTAGCTCTGTCGCCCAGGCTGGAGTGCAGTGGCGTGATCTCAGCTCACTGCATGGCTCACTGCACGGCTCACTGCAAGCTCCGCCTCCTGGGTTCATGCCATTCTCCTGCCTCAGCCTCCGGAGTAGCTGGGACTACAGGCGCCCGCCAGTACACCCAGCTAATTGTGTATGTGTGTGTGTGTGTGTGTTTAGTAGAGACAGGGTTTCACCGTGTTAGCCAGGATGGTCTCTATCTCCTGACATCGTGATCTGCCCATCTTGGCCTCCCAAAGTGCTGGGATTACAGGAGTGAGCCACCACACCCAGCCAGAAATCAATAACATTTCTTTATGTCAACTATGAACACTCTGAAAAAGAAATCAAGAAAGTAGTTTCATTTACAATAGCTACATATAAAATGAAATACTTAGAAATGACTTTAAACAAAGAAGTGAAAGATCTCTAAAATGAAAACTATGAAACACTGATGAAAGAAATTGAAGAGGACACAAAAAATAAAAAAAAAATGTATCTTCATGGGCTGGAATAATCAATGTTTTTTAAAAGCACATACTACCCAAAACAATCTACAGATTGAACAGAATCCTTATTAAAATATTAATGACTTTTTTTCACAGACATAGAAAATACAATCCTAAAATTTATATGGAACCACAAAAGTATAGCCATCCTGAGCAAAGGGAATGAAACTGGAGGAATTATATTACAGGACTTAAAACCATACTACAGAGCTATAAGTAATCAAAATAGCATGGCACTGGCATAAAAACAGACACATAGGCCAATAGAACAGAATAGATAACTCAGAAACAAATCCATGCATCTACAGTGAACTCCTTTTCGACAAAGTTACCAGAAACATAAATCGGGAAAAGGACTATCTCTTCAATAAATGCTGCTGGGAAAACTAAATATATATAGGAAGGAAAATGAATATAGACCCCTATCTCTCACAAAACACAGAAAATCAACTTAAAATGCATTACAGATTTAAATCTAAGACATAAATATTTTAAAATCCTAAAAGAAAACCTTCAGGAATCTCTCCAGAACACTGGTCTGGACAATTATTTTTTTGAGTAATATTTCAGAAGTACAGGCAACCAAAACAAAAATGGACAAATGGGATCACATCAAGTAAAATAGTTTCTGCACAGCAAAGGAACCAGTCAACAAAGTGAAGTAAAAACCCACACAATGGGCGATAATATTTGCAAACTATTTATCTGACAAGGGATTAATTACCAGAATATAGAAGGAGCTGAAATAACGCTATAAGAAAGAAAATTTAATAATTCAATTAAAAATGGGCAAAAGATCTGAATGAACATTTTTTTGAAGAAGACATGCAAAGGGCAAGCAGGCATATAAAAAGGTTTTTGACGCCATTGATCATCAGGGAAATCCAAATCAAAACTGTAATGAAATATTTTCTCACCCCAGTTAAAATGGCTTTTATCCAAAAGACAGGCAATAATAAATGCTAGCGAGGATGTGGACAATAGGGAATTCACCTACACTGTTGGTCAGAATGTAAATTAATATTACCACTATGAAGAACACTTTGGAGGTTCCTCAAAAACTAAAAGTAGAGCTCCCATATGATCCATCAATCACATTGCTAGATATATGCCCGAAAGAAAGGAAATTAATATATGGAAGTGGTATCTGCACACTCATGTTTATTGCAGTACTATTCATAGTCACTATGCTAAGGAATCAACCTAAGTGTCTATCAATAGACCAATGGATATAGAAAATATGGTATATATACACAATGGAATACTGTTTATTCTTGAGAAAAAAAGAAAATCTTATAACTTGGGACAATATGTATCACCCTGAAAGACTTATATTAAACGTAATAAGCCAGGAAGAAAGACAAACTTTGCATGTTCTCACACATTTTTGGGGAGCTAAAATGTAATACAATTGAACTAATGGTGATATAGAGTAGAATGCTGGTTACCAGAAGTTAGGAATAGTAGTAGGGGGTTGGAGAGAAAGTGGGATTTCTTGATGGGTACAAAATTACAGTTGGTTAAAATGAGTATGGTCTAGTATTGCTAGCACAACAGGGTGACTACAGCCAACAGTAATTAATTGTATATTGTAAAGTAAAAGAGTATAATTGGAATGTTCATAATGCAAATAATGAGAAATGCTTGAGGTCATGGATACCCCATTTAACTTGATGCAATTATTACACATGTATATCTGTACCAAAATTATTCATGTTTCCCATAATACATACACACATTATGGAAAAAGATGCAAATTTCATTTTATTTAGGAAATATACTTCAAGAAATTAATCACATATACATTTATAAACAAGTTATATATATGTTTGTTATATATATATGTTAGTTCATTTAACAGAGGTTCTAATAGCAAAAAGCTAGAAACCTATGTATCCATATAAAGGGGACTGGTTTAGTAAATTATGAATAAACTATGGCTCATCCATACAATGGAGTAATATGCATATGTAAAAATAAAAGAATAAGATATTTTTCTAGGCACCAATTCAGAAAGATCTCAGGAATATATTAAGTAAAAAATGCGGGCAACACCCTTTGGGTCCCCTCCCTTTGTATGGGAGCTCTGTTTTTACTCTATTTCACTCTATTAAATCTCACAACTGCACTCTTCTTGTCCATGTTTGTTATGGCTTGAGCTGAGCTTTTGCTTGCCGTCCACCACTGCTGTTTGCCACTGTCACAGATCCACTGCTGGCTCCCATCCTGCCACTGACTCCCATGCCTCCAGATCCAGCAGGGTGTCTGCTGTTCTCCTGATCCAGCAAGACTCCCATTGCCACTCCCAATTTTGCTAAAGGTTTGCCATTGTTTCTGCATGGCTAAGTGCCTAGGTTCATCCTAATCGAGCTGAACATTAGTCACTGGTTTCCATGGTTCTCTTGCATGACCCACAGCTTCTAATAGAGCTGTAACACTCATCACATGGCCCAAGATTCCATTCCTTGGAATCCGTGAGGCCAAGAACCCCAGGTCAGAGAACACGAGGCTTGCCACCATCTTGGAAGTGGCCCACCGCCATCTTGGAAGTGGCTCGCCACCATCTTGGGAGCTCTGTGAGCAAGGACCCCCGGTAACATTTTGGCGATCACAAAGGGACCTCCAAAGTGGTGAGTAATATTGGACCACTTTCGCTGCTATTCTGTCCTATCCTTCCTTAGAATTGGAGGAAAATACTGGGCACCTGTCGGCCAGTTAAAAACGATTAGCATGGCTGCAGTACTTAAGACTCAGGTGCGAGGCTATCTGGGGAAGCACTTTCTAAAAACCCCCAACCCTTCTGGGTTGGGGACGTTGGTCTGGGTGGAGCCAGCTTCCACTTTCAATTTTCTTGGGGAAGCCAAGGGCTGACTAGAGGCAGAAAGCTGTCATCCTGAACTCCTGGCAGTAGCCGGTTGAGATCATGGCGCAGCCAGAAGTCTCTACTCAACAGTCACCCATGCATGCACCCCTACCTTTCCTTCTGACCCATACCTCCTGGGTCCCAACAATGACTTTTTGAAACTGTAGCCCCAAAATTCTCCTTATCTCTGAATCTACTTCCTCTGATCTCTGTCTCCTAGGTACTAATGGTCCAGACTTTCATTTCCTCTTGCAAGTTGTATCTCCAAAGGGATCTAAGGAAGCTCTATGCTGTGTCCTTGGGCATCTAGGCTATAACCCAGGGAGTCTTATCCCTGGTGTCCTTCTCAATTTAAGTATACAGCTCTCGACATGGGCAGTTATGTGGGACCCGTTCCCCACCACCCTTGCCAGGGCCCTAAGTTTGTAATGGCTAAGAGAGAGATGGAGAGAGAGATGGAGAGAGAGAGAGATGGAGAGAGAGAGAGATGGAGAGAGAGATGGAGAGAGATGGAGAGAGAGAGAGATGGAGAGAGAGAGAGACAGAGAGAGAGACAAAGAAGGAGTCAAAGAGAAAGAAAGAAAAAGATAGAAATAGTAAAAAAAAAAAAAAAAAAAAAAAAAAAAAAAAAAAAAAAAGTGTGCCCTATTCCTTTAAAAGCCAGGGTAAATTTAAAACCTGTGATTGATAATTGAAGGTCTTCTCCGTGACCCTGTAACACTCCAATGCCACTTTGTTGTCAGTGTAAATAAGAGTGTAGCCCGAAAGCACTGAGGCCACTGACAACCCATAGCTTTCCTATCAAAAATCCTTAACCCAGTAACCCGCGGATGGGCCAAATGCATTCAGTCAGTAGCGGCAACTGCTTTGCTAAAAGTAGAAAAGTAACTTTTAGAGGAAACCTCATTGTGAGCACACCTCACCAGTTCAGAATTATTCTAAGTCAAATAAAAAAATGCAAAAAGTAGCTTACTAACTCAAAAATCTTAAAGTATAGGGCTATTATATTAGAAAAGGGTAATGTAACTCCAACCACTGATAATTCCCTTAACCCAGCAGATTTCCTAACAGGGAATTTAAATCTTAATTACCATACAAAGGTCCGACCAGACCTAGGAGGAACTCCCCTCAGGACAGTACAATAGATAGTTCCTCCCAGGTGATTGAGGAAAAAACCACAGTGGGTATTCAGTAATTGATATGGAGACTCTTGAGGAAGCAGAGTTAGAAAAATTGCTTAATAATTGGTCTCCTCAAATGTACGAGCTGTTTGCACTCAGCCAAGCCTTAAAGTACTTACAGAATCAAAAGACTATCTCAATCCTGACTCAAAAGGTTCACTACACCCTCTCTGGAATGAATTTTCATAAGAACTATTGTTTTTGGGAATGCATCTTGATGGGGCAGCTGAGTTGTTATGAAATACTCAGGAACCCAGCCCAGCTCTAGGACTCACCCCTGAGTGCAAAGGCAATGTTGGGCACGCTGGTAAAGGACCACTAGAGTCCAGCAGCCCAGACCCCTTTCTTTGTGGTCAAGAGAGGCGGGAAAATAGGTGCAGGACTGCTATATCAGTGAGCGTAACTAATCCTATAAGCAGAGGTCCACGGGTGGTTACGCACGCTGGAAAAGAATAAGCATTAGGCCCTTAGAGGATGCTCTAGGACTAATGCTCATCGGAAAATGACTAGGGGTGCTGGCATCCATATGTTCTTTTTTCAGATGGTAAACGTTCCCCCCACCCCAAGGCAAAAATGCCCCTAAGATATATTCTGGAGAATTAGGACCAATTTGACCCTCAGGCGCTAAGAAAGAAATGACAGATTCTTCTGCAGTACTGCCTGGCCATGATATCCTCTTCCAGGGGAGAAACTTGGCCTCCTGAGGGAAGTGTAAATTATAACACCATCTTACAGCTAGATCTCTTCTGTAGAAAGGAGGGCAAATGGAGTGAAGTGCCATATGTGCAAACTTTCTTTTCATTAAGAGACAACTCATAATTATGTAAAAAGTGTGGTTTATGCCCTACAGGAAGCCCTCAGAGTCTACCTCCCTATCCCAGTGTCCCCCCAACTCCTTCCCCAACTAATAAGGACCCCCCTTTTACCCAAATGGTCTAAAGGAGATAGACAAAAGGATAAACAATGAACCAAACAGTGCCAATATTCCCCGATTAAGCCCCCTCCAAGCAGTGGGAGGAGGAGAATTCGGCCCAGCCAGAGTGCATGTACCTTTTTCTCTCTCAGACTTAAAGCAAATTAAAATAGACCTAGGTAAATTCTCAGATAACTCTGACGGCTATATTGATGTTTTACAAGGGTAGGACAATCGTTTGATCTGACATGGAGAGATATAATGTTACTGCTAAATCAGACACTAACCCCAAATGAGAGAAGTGCCACCATAACTGCAGCCTGAGAGTTTGGCGATCTCTGGTATCTCAGTTAGGTCAATGATAGGATGACAACAGAGGAAAGAGAATGATTCCCCACAGGCCAGCAGGCAATTCTCAGTGTAGACCCTCACTGGGATACAGAATCAGAACATGGAGATTGGTGCCGCAGACATTTGCTAACTTGCATGCTAGAAGGACTAAGGAAAACTAGGAAGACTATGAATTATTCAGTGATGTCCACTATAACACAGGGAAAGGAAGAAAATCCTACTGCCTTTCTGGAGAGACTAAGGGAGGCATGAAGGAAGCATACCTCTCTGTCGCCTGACTCTATTGAAGGCCAACTAATCTTAAAGGATAAGTTTATCACATTAGAAAAAAACTTCAGAAGTCTGCCTTAGGCCCAGAGCAAAACGTAGAAACCCTATTGAACTTAGCAACCTCAGTTTTTTATAATAGAGATCAGTAGGAGCAGGCGGAATGGGACAAATGGGATAAAAAAAAAGACCACCACTTTAGTCATGGCCCTCAGGCAAGCGGCCTTGGAGGCTCTGGAAAAGGGAAAAGCTGGGAAAATAGAATGACTACTAGGGCTTGCTTCCAGTGTGGTCTACAAGGATACTTTAAAAAAGATTGTCCAAGTAGAAGTAAGCTGCCCTCTCGTCCATGCCCCTTATGTCAAAGGAATCACTGGAAGGCCCACTGCCCCAGGGGATGAAGGTCCTCTGAGTCAGAAGCCACTAACCAGATGATGCAGCAGCAGGACTGAGGGTGCCTGGGGCAAGTGCCAGCCCATGCCATCACCCTCACAGAGCCCCAGATATGCTTGAACATTGAGGGCCATTAGGTTAACTGTCTCCTAGACACTGGCGTGGCCTTCTCAGTCTTACTCTCCTGTCCCAGACAACTGTCCTCCAGATCTGTCACTATCCTAGGGGTCCTAGGACAGCCAGTCACTAGATACTACTCCCAGGCACTAAGCTGTGACTGAGGAGCTTTACTCTTTTCATATGCTTTTCTAATTATGCCTGAAAGCCCCATTCCCTTGTTAGGGAGAGACATTCTAGCAAAAGCAGGCGCCATTATACACCTGAACATAGGAGAAGGAACACCCATTTGTTGTCCCCTGCTTGAGGAAGGAATTAATCCTAAAGTCTAGGCAACAGAAGGACAACATAGATGAGCAAAGAATGCCCGTCCTGTTCAAGTTAAACTAAAGGATTCTGCCTCCTTTCCCTACCCCCTCAGACTCGAGGCCCAACAGGACTCCAAAAGTTTGTTAAGGACCTAAAAGCCCAAGGCCTAGTAAAAGCATGCAATAGCCCCTGCAATACTCCAATTTTAGGAGTACAGAAGCCCAACGGATAGTAGAGGTTAGTGCAAGATCTCAGGATTATCAGTGAGGCTGTTGTTTCTCTATACCCAGCTGTACCTAGCCCTTATACTCTGCTTTCCCAAATACCAGAGGAAGCAGAGTGGTTTACAGTCCTGGACGTTAAGGATGCCTTTTTCTGCATCCCTGTACATCCTGACTCTCAATTCTTGTTTGCCTTTGAAGATCCTTCAAACCCAACGTCTCAACTCACCTGGACTGTTTTACCCCAAGGGTTCAAGGATAGCCCCCATCTATTTGGCCAGGCATTAGCCCAAGACTTGAGCCAATTCTCATACATGGACACTCTTGTCCTTTGGTATGGGGATGATTTAATTTTAGCCACCCATTCAGAAACCTTGTGCCATCAAGCCACCCAAGTGCTCTTAAATTTCCTCACTACCTGTGGCTACAAGGTTTCCAAACGAAAGGCTCAGCTCTGCTCACAGCAGGTTAAGTACTTAGGGCTAAAATTATCCAAAGGCACCACGGCCCTCAGTGAGGAATGTATCCAGCCTAAACTGGCTTATCCTCATCCCAGAACCCTAAAGCAACTAAGAGCATTCCTTGGCATAACAGGCTTCTGCCAAATGTGGATTCCCAGGTACAGCAAAATAGCCAGGCCATTATATACACTAATTAAGGAAACTCAGAAAGCCAATACCCATTTAGTAAGATGGACACCTGAAGCAGAAGCAGCTTTCCATACCCTAAAGAAGGCCCTAACCCAAGCCCCAGTGTTAAGCTTGCCAACAGGGCAAGACTTTTCTTTATATGTCACAGAAGAAAAAGGAATAGCTCTAGGAGTCCTTATACAGGTCCGAGGGACGAGCTTGCAACCTGTGGCATACCTGAATAAAGAAAATGATGTAGTAGCAAAGGGTTGGCCTCATTGTTTACGGGTAGTGACAGCAGTAGCAGTCTTAGTATCTGAAGCAGTTAAAATAATACAGGAGATCTTACTCTGTGGACATCTCATGATGTGAACAGCATACTCACTGCTAAAGGAGACTTGTGGATGTCAGACAACCGTTTACTTAAATATCAGGCTCTATTACTTGAAGGGCCAGTGCTGCAACTGCGCACTTGTGCAACTCTTAACCCAGCCACATTTCTTCCAGACAATGAAGAAAAGAAAGAACATAACTGTCAACAAGTAATTGTTCAAACCAACGCCACTCAAGGGGATTTTTAGAGTTTCCCTTGACTGATCCTGACCTCAACTTGTATACTGATGGAAGTTCCTTTTTAGGAAAAGGACCTGAAAAGTGGGGTATGCAGTGGTCAGTAATAATGTAATACTTGAAAGTAATCCCCTCACTCCAGGAACTAGTGCTCAGCTGGCAGAACTAATAGCCCTCACTCGGGCACTAGAATTAGGAGAAGGGAAAAGTGTAAATATATATACAGACTCTAAGTATGCTTACCTAGTCCTCCATGCCAAGGAAGCAATATGGAGAGAAAGGGAATTCCTAACTTCCAAGGAAACACCTATCAAACATCAGGAAGCCATTAGGAGATTACTACTAGCTGTACAGAAACCTAAAGAAGTGACAGTCTTACACTGCCCGGGTCACCAGAAAGGAAAGGAAAAGGAAATAGGAAGGAACCACCAAGCGGATATTGAAGCCAAAAGAGCCACAAGGCAGGACTCTCCATTAGAAATGCTTATAGAAGGACCCTTAGTATGGGGTAATCCCCTCCAGGAAACCAAGCCCCAGTACTCAGAAGAAGAAATAGAATGAGGAAACTCATGAAGACATAGTTTCCTCCCCTCAGGATGGCCAGCCACCGAAGAAGGAAAAATACTTATGCCTGCAGCTAACCAATGGAAATTACTTAAAACCCTTCACCAAACCTTTCACTTAGGCATTGATAGCACCCATCAGATGGCCAAATTATTATTTACTGGACCAGGCCTTTCAAAGCTACCAAGCAGATAGTCAGGGCCTATAAAGTGTGCTGAAGAAGTAATCCCCTGCACTGCAGGCCATACATTTCAATCCCTGTATCTTTAACCTCCTTGTTAAGTTTGTCTCTTCCAGAATTGAAACTGTAAAACTACAAATGGTTCTTCAAATGGAGCCCCAGATGCAGTCCATGACTAAGACCCACCGCGGATCCCTGGACCAGCCTGCTAGCCCATGCTCCAGTGTTAATGGCATCGAAGGCACCCCTCCCGAGGAAATCTCAACTGCACAACCCCTACTATGCCCCAATTCAGCAGGAAGCAGTTAGAGCAGTCATCAGCCAACTTCCCCAACAGCACTTGGGTTTTCCTGTTGAGAGGGGGTACTGAGAGACAGGACTAGCTGGATTTCCTAGGCCAACTAAGAATCCCTAAGCCTAGCTGGGAAGGTGACCACACCCACCTTTAAACATGGGGCTTGCAACTTAGCTCACACCCAACCAATCAGAGAGCTCACTAAAATGCTAATTAGGCAAAAACAGGAGGTAAAGAAATAGCCAATCATCTATTGCCTGAGAGCACAGCTGGAGGGACAAGGATCGGGATATAAACCCAGGCATTCTGGCCAGCAACAGCAACCCCCTTTGGGTCCCCTCCCTTTGTATGGGAGCTCTGTTTTCACTCTATTTCACTCTATTAAATCTTGCAACTGAAAAAAAAAATGCAAGGTGAGAAAATAGGTACATTGCACACAAATATTTGTGTAATAAAAAGGTGGGATAAGAATATGATATATAATCATATTTATTTGTATTTGCATACAGAAAAACTGAAAAGAGATATTAAAAACAAAATCATTTACCACCTATGAGGTAGGTACGGGATTTATGGAAATCAATGGACAGAGACATAAACAGAAAAGTTGTAATTCAAAGAAGACAATACAACCTAATCACTGAGGATATTTAAAGGTTGGATTGCACATATGCATTTGTGATTTTTGAAAAAGTAACTTATCAATCCTTTATAAAACACCCATAAAAATCAATAACAAAGCCGGGCGCGGTGGCTCATGCCTGTAATCCCAGCACTTTGGGAGGCTGAGGAGCATGGATCACCTGAGGTCGGGAGTTCAAGACCAGCCTGACCAACATGGAGAAACCCCGTCTCTACTAAAAATACAAAATTAGCCAGGTGTGGTGGTGCATGCCTGTAATCCCAGCTACTCAGGAGGCTGAGGCAGGAGAATTGCTTGAATCCGGGAGGCGGAGGTTCCGGTGAGTGGAGATCGCACCATTGCACTCCAGCCTGGGCAACAAGAACGAAACTCCGTCTCAAAAAAAAAAAAATTACATATTTCAAACACAGTATTGGCATCTTAATTTAAACTGCTGAATTACAGTCAAGTTAATCTACCAGCTTAACAATAAGTGCTTACAGTATTTAACTGCTTTAGAAAAAAGTCTGACCAAAAAAATAACTTTGTATTTGAAAGTGTTGGGGTTTTTTGCTTGGAAGGACTTATTTCCCAAACTGGAAATTGTTCCAAAGATATATTACCAAGACAAGAAGATAGTAAATAAAACAAAGAAAATCCAAAAAGTGAGACTAAAAAAAATGTCATGGCAAATTTGCCATCAATTTTACAACTGGTCACTGGTGAGTAGAATAAACATACTTTTTATAATTTTAACGTGTTGCAAACATGACATACTATTTATTCACACCTTCAGCCATTTGAACCTTAGTGATCTCATTTTACAGATCAGCCAGAGAAGAGTCTCATGTTGTGTTTATCCTGGACATTAGAGCAGAAGATATCATTTAACACAACTGCCACATTTTCCCTTGCAGAGAAATTTGGATTTGAGTGTGACTGTAGATATGACAAAGACTGGGACTTACACCTATGCACCTGCAACTTACCACTGAAATATATGGCAAATCATAACACCAACTCTAGTTTAATTAATTAATTTATTTATTTATTTATTTATTTATTTATTTATTTATTTATTTTTGAGACATAGTCTCACTCCGTCGCCCAGGCTGGGGTGCAGTGGTGCGATCTCGGCTCACTGCAACCTCCGCCTCCTGGATTCAAACAATTCTCCTGCCTCAACCTCCAGAGTAGCTGGGACTACAGGCATACACCACCATTCCTGGCTATTTTTTTTTTCTGTATTATTAGTAGAGACGGGGTTTCACCATGTTGGTGAGGCTAGTCTCCCCCTCCTGAACTCAAATTATCTCCCCACCTCGACTTCCAAAAGTGCTGAGATTACAGGGGTGAGTCACCTCACTTGGCCTCCAGTTTCTTTTAAATCAAGATAATTTTGTTTTCATTTGGGTACAAATCCAAACAAAACACCTCACTAGTCTTTGATATGAAGTGGAGTTCTGGTAATTCTTGAAACATCTGGATAACTATTATGTGTCATTATCTGTGCATCATCTGTGCTTGGGAGCTTGTTTAGTAATGTCAGTCTTATTAGTGGAATAACTGGTTTCATTATACAGCTAGATGAATAAAGTGAACAGATATTATCATTTTTAAATTAAATAATGTATCTCTGTTGGGTCAATTTGAGTAGATTACTTTAACTGGAGAGAAGTGGTGTGCTATTCTTTTTGACTTTTTTGCCTGTCCTTCATTGATGATTGGCTTGAAGATCAGACAATGCACCAGTATTTTCAGTGCAAACTCCTCTGCTAACTGCTTAAACTGAGATTTGTTTTCTTTTCTTCTCGTCCTATAGTCTTTGCACTTCTTGTTAGTTAAGCCATTTTGTCACTGAGCACTTTAAAGATGTGCCTTGTTCTAATCAGAAAATTGCATAAATAGGACAGGTATCATAGGTGCTCAATATATGTTTGTTGAGTTCAGTTAAACTTATTACAAATGATGATTTACACATCAGGTAGAAGAAACTCTAAACCTTGATAATTATTGTTTTTGCTAATAGACTCAATAGACTATGAGCGCCAAAGATAAACTTCAATTCATTCACTTTTTTAAGGTGCATGACTACAAACCCTACGCAGAAACTCTACAGGATAGGACCCTAGAAAACAATACTGAATCTGGCACTGGTAAAAAGACAAGTAGCGAATAAAAATAAAACAATGACAACACAAAACCATTAGCAGGAAAATAAACAGGTAAGTCATCTACCAAGAGTGGAGGAGCAAGAAGTTGGCATAATTTGAAGATAGAAGGGATGGTTTGAAATTATGCTGTGGGCAAAAAGTAAAATAATTCCAGCATCATACATTAAAAAGCATTTTTATGAACATTTGAGAAGATCAGGTCTTCTAAAAGTCAGTGCCTTGAAAGAAGAAGGTGGAGACAGTCTAACATAGTAAAATATCCTAAAGAATCATAATAATCAATGAAATGAACTAAAACAAAATATGACAAGTGAGACCTAATTAAACTAAAGAGCTTCTGCACAGCAAAATAAAGTATCAACAGAGTCTACCAACAGAAAACCTACATAATAGAATAAGATATTTGGAAACTATGCATTTGAAAAAGGTCTAATATCCAGAATCTATAAGAAACTTAACCAATTCAACAAGCAAACGCAAACATCCCCTTTAAAATGACCAGAATAAATGAACAGACATTTCTCAAAAGAAGACACACAAGACATTTCTCAAAAGAAGACACAGGACTCTGTGGCCCAGGCTGGAGTCCTGTGGTGCGATCTCGGCTCACTGCAAGCTCTGCCTCCTGGGTTCACGCCATTCTCCTGCCTCAGCATCCCGAGTAGCTGGGACTACAGGTGCCCGCCACCATGCCTGGCTAATTTTTTGTATTTTTAGTAGAGACGGGGTTTCACCATGTTGGCCAGGATGGTCTCGATCTCCTGACCTCGTGATCTGCCCGCCTCAGCCTCCCAAAGTGCTGGGATTACAGGCATGATCCACCGCGCCCGGCCGAGCCCTTGATTTTTATGATCATTAACAAACCCCTTGATAATGCTTAGTGATGTTAAAAATCATGAATCATCAGAAAAATTCACATCAAAACTGCAATCTGATACTTTCTTCACACCAGTCACAATGAGTACTATTATTTTCTAATTTTTTGTTTCAATATCTTTGGGTGTACATGTGGTTTTCATTATACGAGGGAATTGTACAGTGGTGATGTCCAAAATTTTAGTGCACCCAACACCCAAGTAGTGTACAGTCTACCCAATGTATAGTTTCTTATACTCCACCCCCTCCCAACTTCACTTCTTCTGAGTCTCTTACATTTATTATACCACTCTGCAAGCCTTTTTGTACCCAGAGAGCTTACTTACCTCCTACTTGTGAGAACATGTAACATTTGGTTTCACCTTTTTAGTTACTTCACTTAGAATAATGGTTTAAAGCTACTTCCAATTTGCTATAAAAGACATTATTTTGTTCCTTTTTATGGTTGAGTAGTATTCCATGGTGTATGCATACCCTATATTCTTTATTCCCCCATCCATTGATAGGCACGTAGGTTGGATTCATATCTTCGCAATTGTAAATTGTGCTGTGATAAACATACATATGCAGGGGTCTTTTTTATATAATGACTTATTTTCCTTTAGGTAGATACCCACCAGTGGGATTGCTGGATCGAATGGTAGGTCTAATTTTAGTTCTTTGAGAAATCCCTGGTGCTGTTTTGCATAGAGTTTATACTTATTTACATTTACACCAGCAGTGTTTAAGTTTTCCCTTTTCACTCCATCCACACCAACACCTATTGTTTTTTGACTGTTTAATCATGGTCTTTTAATTCTCACTGGGTTAAGGTGATATCTCACTGTGATTTTAATTTGCATTTCCCTGATGATTAGTGATATTCTTCTTTGGAGAAATGTGTATTTGTGTTATTTGCCCACTGTTTGATAGAATCATTTTTTTCTTGCTTATTTGTTTGGGTTTCTTGTAGACTCCTGACATTAGTTCTTTGCCAGATGCATAGTTTGCAAATATTTTCTTCCATTCTGTGGGCTGTCTGTTTACTATGACGACTATTTCTTTTGCTGTACAGAAGATTTTTAATTAGGTGCCATGTATTTTTCTTTTTGTTGCATTTGCTTTTGGATTTTTAGTTATAAATTATTTGCCTAGGCCAACGTACAAAAGTGTTTTTCTAGTTTCTCTTCTAAAATTGTTATTGTTTTGTGCCTTAGATTTAAGTCTTTCATTCATCTTGAGTTGATTTTTGTAGACCGTAAGGGATTGGAATTCAGTCTTATTCTTCTGCATGTGGCTATCCAGTTTTCCCAGCACCATTTATTGAATAGCATGTCCTTTCTCCAATATATATTTTTGTCTGCTTTGTTAAAGATGAGTTGGTTGTAAGTATTTGGCTTTATTTCTGAGTTGTCTCTTCTATTACATTGGTCTATATATCTACATTTATGCCAGTACAATGCTGTTTTGGATATGCTAGCTTTGTAGTATAATTTGAAGTTGGGTCATGTGATGCTTTCAGATTTGTACTTTTTGCTTAGGATTGCTTTGGCTATTCAGGCTTTTTTGTTTGTTTCATACTATATTAGTCCTTTCTCACACAGCTGTAAAGAAATGCCTGAAACTAAAAAAAGAGGTTTAATTGGCTTATAGTTCTGCAGGCTGTTCAGGCTTCTGCTTTGGGGGAGGACTCAGGAAACTACAATAATGGCAGAAGGTGAAGGGGAATCCTGGACATCTTCACATGGCCACTAGGAGAGACAGCAAAGGGGGAAGTGCTACACTCTTTCAAGCAACCAAATCTTGTGAGAATTCATTCACTATCACAAAAACAGCAAGGGAAAAATCTGCCTCCATGATCCAATCACCTCTCACCAGGTCCCTCCCCCAACACTGGGGATTACAAGGCAACATGAGATTTGGGTGGGGCCACAGAGCCAAACCATATTATAGAATTTTTGAAATGTTTTTTTGAATTCCATAAAAAATGATATTGGTGTTTTGATAGGAATTGCATTGATTCTATGGATTGCTTTGGTCAGTATGCTCATTTTGACAATATTGATCCTTCCAATTAATAAGCATGGGATGTATTTCTATTTGTTCATGTCATCTTTATTTCTATTTGCTTGTGTCATCTATGATTTCTTTCTGCAGTATTTTGTAGTTCTCCATGTAGAGATCTTTCACCTCCTTAGTTAAGTATATTTCTAGTTATCTTATTTTTCTTACAGCTATTGTAAAAGGGACTGAGCTCTTGATTTGATTCTCAGCTTGGACATTGTTGAGGTATAGCAGTGCATTTTGTACACATCGATTTTATAACCTGAGACTTTACTGAATTGATTTATCAAATCTAGGCATCTTTTGGTTGAGGATTTAGGGTTTTCTAGGTATATAATCATACCATCAGCAAACAGAGATAGTTTAACTTTCTTTTTCCAATATGAATGCCCTTCATTTCTTTCTCTTACCTGGTTGCTTTGCCTAGGACTTCCAGTTCTTTGTTGAATACAAGTAATAAAAGTGAGCATTGTAGTCTTTTTCCAGTTCTTAGGGCTAATGCTTTCAACATTTTCCTATTTGGATTTGGTATGATGTTGGCTGTGTGTTTGTCATAATGGCTTCCAGTATTTTGAGGAATGTCCTTTCTGTGTCTACCTTGTTGAAGGTTTTTACTATAAAGGGATGCTGGATTTTATTGAATGCTTTTCCTGCATCTATTGAGATAATCATATGGCTTTAGTTTATAATTCTGTTAATGTAATGTTGACATTTATTGAATTGCATATGTTGAACCATCCCTGCTTCCCTGGAATAAAACCCACTTAATCATGGTGAATTATCTGATGTGCTGTTGGATTTGGTTTGCCAGTATTTGTTTGGGTTTTTGTTTTTGTTTTTGTTTTCCATCTCTATTCATCAGAGATATTGGTCTGTAGTTCCTTTGTTTGTTTGTTTGTTATGTCCTTTCCTTGTTTTGGTATTAGAGTAATACTGGTTTTTATAATAAATTAGAAACCATTCCCTCTTTCTCTATCTTTTGGAATAGATTCAGCAGAATTGGTACCAATTCTTCTTTAAATGTCTGATAGAATATCTGCTGTGCATCTTTCTGGCCTTGGGTTTTATTTTGTTGACTTTTTTTTTATTACTGGTTGAATTTTACTGTTTTTTATTGTTCTGTCCCAGATTGCTATTTAATCCTGATTCAGGCTTCAGGGGTTCTGTGTGTTTCCAGGAATTCATTCATTTTCTCTGAATTTTTTAGTTTGTGTGCATAGAGCTGTTCATAGTAGTCTCAAATAATCTTTTGTATTTTAGTGGTATCAGTTATAATGTCTCCATTTTAATCTCTAATTGAATTAATTTTAATCTTCTCCCTTCTTTTCTTGGTTAATTTAGCTAATGATCTATTGATTTTATTTATATTTTCAAAGAACCCACTTTTTGTTTCATTGCTCTTTTATGTTTTTTGTTTCAATTTGATTTACTTCTGTTGCGATTTCTATTATTTCTTCCTCTGCTAGCACAAGGTTTAGTTTGTTCTTGTTTTTCTAATTCTTGAGGTGTGATGTTAGGCTATCAATGTGAGCTATTTCAGACTTTTTGATGTAGGCATTCAGTGCTATACATTTTCCTCGTAGTGCTAATTTTCCTGTGTCCCAGAGATTTTTATAACTTGTATCACTGTTATCATCCACTTTGAAATTTTTAAAAATTTCCATCTTGATTTTATGATTAACTCAAAAATTATTTAGGAGAAGATTCCTTAATTTCCATGTATTTGTGTCACTTTGAAGAATCCTTTTGAAATTGATTTTTAGTTTTATTTCACTTTGGTCTAAGAATATACTTGATATAATTTTGATTTTTAAAAATACATTGAGACTGTTGTTGCCTATTATAAGGTCTATCCTGAAGAATGTTCCATGAGCTGATGAGAAGAATGTATATGCTGCAGTTATTCAGTGGAATGTTCTGTAAATGTACTTTAGGCTCATTTTTTTCTAGAGTGCAGTTTAAGTCTAGTATTTCTTTATTGACTTTTGGCCTCAGTGATCTGTCTAGTGCTGTCAATGGACCGTTAAAGTCCCCCCCATTATTGTTTTGCTTTCCATATCCTTTATTATGTCTAGTCATAATTGTTTTATGAATCTGGGAGCTTTAGAATTGGGTCCATTTATATATAAATTGTAATATCTTCTTGTCATATTAATACTCTTATTGTTTGATGACGTTCTTTGTCTTCTTTTTTTAACTATAGCTACTCCTACTTACTTTTGGTTTCTATTTGCACGGAATATCTTTTTTCCTTGGTACAGTGCTAGGTGAGTGAACTAGAGACAGACAATATTTGGTTTGTAATTTATTTTTATTAATTCTGCCAATCTGCATCTTTTAAGTGCAGCATTTTGACCATTTACATTCAATATAAATATTGAGATATGAGGTACTGTTCCAATCATCATGTTGATTGTTATCTAAAATTTTATTTTTCTTCATTATGTTATTGTTTTAAAAATTCTGTGAGCTTTATGCTTTCAAGAAGTTCTATTCTGGTGCATATTACCCTTTTGTTTTAAGCTTTAGAACTTTCAGTATTTCTTGTAGTGCTCGTCTGTCAGTGACAAATTCCCTCAGCATTTGCTTGTCTGAAAAATATTTTATTTCACCTTTGATATGGTTTGGCTGTGTCCCCACCCAAATCTCATCTTGAAGTTTAACTCCCCCAATTCCCACATGTTGTGGGAGGAACCCGGTGGAAGCTGATTGGATCATGGGGGTGGGCCTCTCCTGTGCAGTTCTTGTGATAGTAAATAAGTCTCATGAGACCTGATGATGGTTTTAAAAATGGGAGTTTCCCTGCAGAAACTCTCTCTCTTTGCCTGCAACCATCCATGTAAGATGTGAGTTGCTCATTCTTGCTTTCTGCCATGATTGTGAGGCCTCCCCAGCAATGTGGAACCACAAGTCCATTAAACCGCTTTTACTTTTCAGTCTTTGGTATGTCTTCATCAGGAGTTTTAAAATGGACTAACATAGAAACTGGTACCAGTAGAGTGGGGCACTGCTGAAAAGATACCCAAAAAATGTGGAAGCAACTTTGGAACTGGGTAACAGGCAGAGGTTGGAACAGTTTGGAGGGCTCAGAAGAAGACAGGAAAATGTGGAAAAGTTTAGAACTCTCTAGAGACTTGTTGAATAACTTTGACCAAAATGCTGATAATTATATGGATAATGAAATCCAGGATGAGGTGGTCTCAGATGGAGATGAGAAACTTGTTGGGAACTAAAGCGAAGGTGATCCTTGTTATGTTTTAGCAAAGGGACTGGAAGCACTTTGCTCCTGACCTAGAGATTTGTAAAACTTTGAACTTGAGAGAGATGATTTAGAGTATTTGGGAGAAGAAATTTTTAAGCAGCAAAACTTTCAAGAGGTGACTTGGGTGCTGTTGAAGGCATTCCGTTTTATAAGGGAAGGAAAGCATAAAAGTTCAAAAAAATTGCAGACTGAAAATGCAATAGAAAAGAAAATCCCATTTTCTGAGGAGAAATTCAAGGTGGCTGCAGAAATTTCCATAAGTAACGAGGATCCAAATGTTAATCCCCAAGACAATGGGGAAAATGTCTCCAGGGCATGTCAGAGGTCTTCACAGCACACTGTCCCATTACAGGCCCAAGAGGCCCAGGAGGAAAAGTGGTTTTGTGGGCCAGGCCCAGGGTCCCCATTCTGTGTGCTGCTTAGGGACTTGTTGCCCTGCATCCCAGCCATTCCAGCCATGGCTAAAAGGGGCAAACATAGAGCTCAGGCCATGGCTTCAGAGGGTGAAAGCACTAAGCCTTGGCAACTTGCACATGGTGTTGAGCCTGTAAGTACACAGAAGTCAAGAATTGGGGTTTAGGAACCTCTACCTAGTTTTTGGAGGATGTATGGAAATGCCTGGATACCCAGGCAAAAGTTTGCTACAGGGGTAGGGCCTGCATGGAGAACCTCTACTAGGGCAGTGCAGAAGGGAAATGTGGGGTTGGGGCCCCCACATAGAGTCCCTACTGGGGCACCATCAAATGGAGCTGTGAGAAGCAGGCCACTGTCCTCCAGACCCCAGAATGGTATATCCACTGACAGCTGTCACTGTACTCCTAGAAAGGCCACAGACAATCCACACCAGCCCATGAAAGCAGCAGGGAGGGAGGTTGTATCCTGAAAAGCCACAGGGCTGGAGCTGCCCAAAACCATGGGAACCTATCTTTTGCATCAGTATGGCCTGGATAAGAGACATGGAGTCAAAGGAGATCACTTTGGAGCTTTAAGATTTGACTACCCTTCTGGATATTGGACTTTCATGTAGCCAGTAGCCCCTCTGTTTTGGAGAATTTTTCCCATTTGCAATGGCTGTATTTACTCAATACCTGTATGCCCATTGTATCTAGGAAGTAACTAGCTTGTTTTTGATTTTACAAGCTCATAGGCAGAATGGACTTGACTTGTCTCAGATGAGATTTTGGACTATGGACTTTTGAGTTAATGCTGAAATGCATTAAGGCTTTGGGGGACTGTTAGGAAAGCATGATTGGTTTTAAAATGTGAGGACATGAGATTTTGAGTGGCCAGGGAAAGAATGATATGGTTTGGGTGTGTCCCCACCCAAATCTCATTTTGAATTGTAACTCCCACAATTCCCATGTGTCATGGGAGGAACCTGGTGGAAGGTAATTGAATTATGGGAGTGGGCCTTTCCTATGCTGTTCTCAGGATAGTGAATAAATCCCATGAGCTCTGATAGTTTTATAAACAGGAGTTTCCCTCTGCACAAAGTCTTCCTCTTTGCCTGCCACCATCTGTGAAAGATGTGACTTGCTCATCCTTGCCTTCCACCATTGTTTTGAGGCCTCTCCTGTCATGTGGAACTGTAAGTCCATTAAACCTCTTTTTCTTCCCAGTCTTGGGTATGTCTTTATCAGCAGCATGAAAATGGACAAATACAATTTTCATTTATGAAACTTAGTTTTGCTGGGTACAAAATTCATGGCTGACAGGTTTTTTTTTTTCTTTTTTTTGTATAAAGTGGCTAAAGGTAGGACCCCAATATCTTTTGGCTTGTAAGATTTCTGCTGAGATGTCTGTTATTAGTCTGTAGTTTTCCTTTATAGGTTACTTAATAATTTTGTCTCATTGCTCTTACAATTCCATCATTCAATTTGACTTTAGATAGCCTGATGACTATATGCCTTGGTGATGTCTTCTTTGCAATAATTCTCCCAAGAATTATTTGAGCTTCTTGTATTTGGATGTTTAAATCTCTAACAATGCTAGGGTAGTTTACAACTATTCTCTCAAATAAATTTTACAAACTTTTTGCATTTTCTTCTACCTCAGTAGCATCAGTTATTCTTATATTTGGCCATTTCATATATTTTCATATTTCTTGGAAAATTTATTTCTTTTAATTTTTTGTTTCATTATTATTGGCTGACTGGGTAAATTCAAAGCCTAGTCTTTGAGGCCTGAAATTCTTTCTTCTATTTGGTTTAGTCTATTGTTAGAACTTTTCACTGCATTTTATAATTTTCTAAATATGTCTTTTAACTGCATTAGTTATGATTGGTTTTCCTTTAAAATACCTATCTCCTTAGAAAATTTTTCACCCATATTCTGAATTATTTTCCTTAATTTATTTATGTTCATTTTCACCTCTCTCTTGTGTCTTTCTGAGTAGCTTAATAATCAACATTTTGAATTATTTATCTGGTATTTCAAATATTTTATCTTTGTTTTGATCAATTGCTGAAGAGCTAGTGTGATCTTTGGCAGCTGTTATAAAACCTTGTTTTGTCATATTGCCAAAATTATTTTTCTGTTTCTATCTTATTTGGGCAGTGCATTTCTTCTAAATATTTTTAGTTTATTTTTTATTTGACCGTGATTTTTTATTATTTCCTCTTGAGATGCAACTTTAATGTTTATAGTTTATTGTAAGCTAATTTGGTTCTGTGTGCTTTCACGGGTAAAGACTGTATGAGTTCCTTGGTTATATAGAGTCTTTGCATGGTGACATTCTCAGATGCTGTGTGCACTTACTTATCTACTTTTTCCCCAGTGGCCTGAAGTCTGAACTGTCCAACATAGTAAATAAAACATTGGGGGGAAATAAATAAATAAGTACACACCACTGGGGTATAAGATAAGCTTCAAGAAATTTCTGCAGCTCCAACCACACAGGAGAGAGTGAGCTTGCACACAAATCAGTTCAGACTTCAGACCAGTGGGGTGGTTGTCCACAAGTATGAAGCAGTTGTGGCTAAAGCAAGTTTGTGAATGCAATACACAATAGTGGGCAGAGGTTCAAGCCTTAACAGAAGTGGCTGGGGGAGCTCTCCCTGAAATGCACTGAGGTCTTATCAGAGGGAAGGGAAGAAGCCACCTCAGCTTGCACGACAGGCAAGCAGGAAAGGAATCCACCTTCCAGTCACACTCCCAACCCATCATTCCAGCAACTCAGGGCAGACCGGCCCCGGTTTTCATTTGCAGGAATGCTGATGTTTCATATAGAAAGGTATTGTGAATCTACTCTTCATTTAAGCCTGAACCTGAAGGGCACTTCTCCTATGGAGATGCGGTCACCCTGATGTGTTTTTAAAAGTCTGTCTAGAGGTGCACCCATGTCTATCCCTGAGGAAAGAAGTCCCATCTTTGTCTTCAGTGATGGATGAGAGGAAAAATAAGTACCCTTATACAATGTACTTCATGAACACCAGGACTGCCTGACTATTAGGGTGGAGCCAGAATTTCCCCACTTAACCCAGCACTGTACCTATGCCTCTGCTGAAAGAAACGACCCACATGTGGAATGTTCTGGGACTCAAGTCCTGCCATCTGGATAATTTTGTCCCATGGAATACTTCCTTGATGTGGTGCACACTCCTTCCCTCAGGTTTAATAATCCCTTAGGGACAGACTACTATGAATGCTAGCGCCCCTCTAAGTCTAGCCACCAAGTGAGGTTGCTACACTTCAGGCTGGTGCTGTGGAATGTCTGCAAGTGGTCCAGTGATGTTAATTGTCCTCTACATTCCCAGCAGTGGCTACCAGTACCAGCTCTGATTGGGGTGACAGCGGAGTGACACAGACTGTGAGATTTCTTGGTTATAAATAGCCTTAGTGCATTGGCTTTCTCAAATACCAGTTGTAGTAATAATGAACTTGTCACAAAAAATGAGGACCTCATGGTTATCCCGGGTGATGCAGGCAATTCAGATAGCTAAGATCAGACACATGTGTTCTCTTTCCTGTACCCTGTTATTGTGCCTGTATATGTTGTAATGGACACTTGGCAATGCAGGACTCAAACTTACAGCATTCAACTGGTAGCAGCTCACTACATTCTAGAAAGTCTTGCTCAGAACTGTAAACTGCCCCAGGCCATAGCCTTCTCAGTGGGGAGAGCAACTCTGGCTTTCTGGCCACACCCCTCCCAATCTGTGCATGAAGCAGGGTCACCCAGTTTCTGCACCTGTTTCTGCAGCACACTTCCCACTCACCTCTCAGTTCTATCCAAGGGAGTTTATCCCCAGTCAAGATTATATTACTAATCTCAGGTGGGAGCTTCTGTCAACCTGTAACTGCCATTTGAGTTAGGCTGCAGATTTCTACAAGGTCCCTTGTGAGGTAGAATCAGAAATGGCTTCCCTCTGTCTCTGCTGGAGTCTGGGAATGTACACAAAGCATGTCCTGATGCCAGTTCTTCTCATATACTCCCCACCACTCATTAAATCAGTTCCAGTGCTGAGTAAGGTTTAAGGCCTTCCCCTGTAGCCAGGATTGCCAGGTTACCTGGTGGGAGTGTGTATCCTGAGGCAGTTTATCCCCCTTTCACACTCTGAGGACTTACAGTTTTCTACCTGTCTCACAGTGTAGGCTGCAGCCCAATGCTTCTTTCAAAGGGTCTGTGGTTTCTTTCAGTTTTCCTGTTAAGTTCCTGTGTTGTTTCTTGAAAACAAAGTTAACCATGTGAATCTCTACACAGTATTTTTTTCCAAGAGGTAGAAGCATGCTAATAATGCCTCCAATCCTCCATCTTTGAAAAAATAATGGCTACTATTAAAAAGTCAAAAAGCAACAAATACTGGCAAGGCTGCATAGACAGGAAACACCTATACATTGTGGATCGCTTGGTGGGAATATAAATTAGTTCAACTTATGTGGAAAGCAGTCTGGAGATTTATCAAAGAACCTAAAACAGAGCTACCATTAAACCCAGTAATCCCATTGGTGATTATGTACCTAGAGGAAAATAAATTATTCTATGAAAAGACATATGCAGTTATATTATGATCATTGCTGTGCTATTCATGTAATCAACCCAGGTCCCATCAGCTCTAGATTGGATAAAGAAAATGTGATATGTATACAGCATGGAATACTACACAGCCATGAAAATGAATGAAATTGTCTTTTGCAGCAACATGGGTACAGTTGGGGGCCATAATCCTAAACAAATTAATGTAGGAACAGAAAACCAAATACCACATGCTCTCACTTATAAGTGGGAACCAAACGTTGAACACACATAAACATAAGTAGGAGAACGATAGACACTGTGGACTCCTAGTTTGGGGGAGGAAGGAAGAGGAGCATAGATTGAAAAACTACCCATCTGGTACTGTGCTCACTACCTGGGTGGCGGGATCCATATGCCAAACCTCAGCATCACACAATATCCTCATGTAACAAACGTGCACACGTACCCCCTGTATCTAAAACAAAAGTTGAAATTTAAAAGATTGCAGAGACATGGAATCAACACAAGTGTCCATCAATGGTGGGTTGGAAAAAAAAAAATGTGGCACATATACACTATGGAATACTATGCAGCCATAAGGAAGAATGAAACCATGTCTTTTTGCAGCAATATGGATGCAAGTGAATTATTCTGAGCAAATTAATGCAGAAACACAAAACAAGATACCACATGTTCTCACTTTAAGTGGGAGTTAAACATTGGGTACCTGTGAACATAAGGCAACAATAGACACTGTGACTAACAGAAGAGGGAGGTAGGAAGGGAGGCAGGAGTTGAAAAACTAGCTCTTGGCTACTATTATCAGTACCTGGTTGACAGAATCAGTTGTACCCCAAACTTCGACATCATGCAACATACCCATGTAATGAACATGTACATATACCCCCAAATATAAAATAAAAGGTAAAATTATATTTAAAAAATCAATGCGATTTGCAATCCATGATTGAATCCTAGATCAAAACAAGGTCATATATAAAAGACATTTAGGGAACAATTAGGGTTTTTTAATATAAGATGAATATTAAATATAGGAGATTGTTAATTTTATTAGGATCAATTATGATACTTTGGTTGTATGGGAGAATGATGTCATTCTTAGGAATTGAATGTTGTTGTACTCAGTGCTAAAATGTGATGATGTCTATAACTTATTTTCAAAATATTCTGAAGATGACAACAAATCAAAACAATAACAGGCTGGGCGCAGTGGCTCCTACCTGTAATCCCAGCACTTTGGGAGGCTGAGGAGAGCAGATCACTTGAGGTCAGGAGTTTGAGACCAGCCTGGCCAACATGGTGAAACCGCATCTCTACTAAAAATACAAAAATTATCTGGGCGTGGTGGCACACCTGTAATCCCAGCTACTCGGGGGGCTGAGGCAGGAGAATCCCTTGAACCCAGGAGGCAAAGGCTACAGTGAGCCAAGATCACACCACTACACTCCAGCCAGGGCCACAGAGTGAGACTCTGTCTCAAAAACAAACAAACAAACAAACAAACAAAAAAACAATAACAACAAAATTAAACGATTCCTCTCTCTCTGCCTCCATACACACTTACATACACACATATGCATACATACATTTATACATGAAGCAAATCTAACAAAATTTTTTAATCTATATCACTGATATTCAGATGGTTATTATATTATTTTTCAACCTTTCTATATGTTTGAATATTTTCATAATAAAAAGTTGAAAAAAAACTAACCTCAAACATCAAACCAGTAGTGGAATGGACAAACATATAGTATTAATGTGGCAACTGTTATTGCAGTTGAACACTTAACAATGGGTTGAAAGAACTCTCATTATTTCATACTACAAATATTCACTACTGTGTAGTAGAAACTGTGCCACATACAACAGTGAACTGGGTAGATGGGTTCCTGTCTTTTTTGTAACAGTATTATTGAGATATAATTCATATGCAAAGAACTGCACATATTTAATGTGTCCAATTTGATGAGTTTCCTTGGGCTCCTTTTATTTGGTGTGGTAAGAACACTGAACAAAATGCATACCTTATTAGTAAAGTTTGAAGTTCAAAATACCATATTGTTAACTATAGGCACTATTACCCATTGAGCAACAATGCTTCATTTTCCATACCCCCTAGTACCTGGCAAACACTATTATATTCTCTGCTGCTATGAGTATGACTATGTTAGATACATCATATAAGTGGAATTATATAGTATTTATCCTTCTGTTACTGGCTTATGTCACTTAGCATAATGTCTCCGAGGTTTATGCATGTTGTTGCAAGTGCTAGGAATTTCTTCTTCTTAAAAAGCAAATAGTATTCCATTGTATGTATATATCAAATTTTCTTTATTCATACATCTGTCAATGGACATTTGGGTTGTTTCCACATCTTGGCTATTATGAATAGTGCTTCAATAAACATTGGAGTGCAGATACCACTTTAACATCCTAATTCCAATAATTTTGGGTGTATACCCAGAAGTGAAATTGTTGGATCAGGTGACAGTTATATTTTTAATTTTTTGAGGCATTTCAACACTGTTTTCCATAATGGCTGCACCATTTAACATTCCCATCATCGGTGTACAAAAATTCCAATTTCTCTGCAATCTTTTTTTTTAATACTCATCATAACAAGTGGGAGGTTATATCTTATTGAAGTTTTGAATTGCATTTTTCTGAATATTAAATATGTTGAGCATCTTTTACCTGTTACTATTTGTATATCTTCTTTGGAGAAATATCTAAGCCCTTTGCTCATTTTTAATAGGATTGTTAGTATTATTTTCTGTTAAGTTGTAGGACATCTTCATACAGTTCGGAAATAAATCGCTTTTCAAATATATGTGTTACAAATATTTTCTTTGTTTCTGTAGGTTGTATTTTTATTCTGTTGTTTCCTTTGCTGTCCAGAGCTTTTTAGTTTGACACATTTTCACTTCTTTTTTTTATCTTCAATGTTCAGGGGTGTATGTGGAGACTGTGCAGGTTTGTTACATAGGTAATCATGTGTCATGGGGGTTTGTTGTAGAGATTATTTCACCACCCAGGTGTTAAGTCTAGTATCCATTAGTTATTTTTCTGGATCCTCTGCCTCCTTCCACCTTCCACCCTCCCATAGGCCCCAGTGTGTGGTGTTCCCCTCTATGTGTCCGTGTGTTCTCATCATTTAGCTCCCACTTGTAAGTGAGAACATGGGGTATTTGGATTTCTGTTCCTGCATTAGTTTGCCAAGGATAATGGCCTCCAGCTCCATCCATGTCCCCCCCAAAACATGATCTCATTCTTTTTTATAGCTGCATAGTATTCCATGGTGTATATGTACCATATTTCCTTTATCCAATATGTCATCGATGGGCATTTAGGTTAATTCCATGTCTTTGCTATTGTGAATCATGCTGCAATGCACATACACGTGCATGTGTCTTCATAATAGAATGATTTATAATCCTTTATATTTTCACTTATTTTTGCTTTTGTTGCCTATGCTTTTGGTGTTATAGCCAAGAAACCATTGCCAATATCAGTGCCGAGGCTTTCTTCTATGTTTCCTTTTTGGAGTTTTAAAGTTTCTGTTAGAAACTTTGAAATAAGTAAAAAACCTTTATCTATGTTGAGTTGATTTTTGTTTATGGTGTAAAGTAGGGGTCCAGTTTCATTCTTTTGTTCATACCTATCCAATTTTCCCAACAACATTTGTTAAAGAGCCAGTTGTTTCACCTTTGTGCCTCCTTGACACATTTTCCTTTTTAACATTTATTTTAGATTCGGTGGGTACATGTGCAGGTTTGTTACATGGGTAACTTGCATGTCACTGGGGTTTGGTGTACAGATTATTTCTTTGATAATGAGCACAGTACTTGTTAGTTTTTTATGCTTACTTCCTCCCACCCTCCACCCTAAAGTAGGTCCCAGTGTTTATTGTTAGCTTTTTTTTTTTTTTTTGAGATGGAGTCTCGCTCTGTTGCCCAGGCTGGAGTGCAGTGGCGTGATCTCATCTCACTGCAAGCTCTGCCTCCTGGGTTCATGCCGTTCTCCTGCCTCAGCCTCCCGGGTAGCTGGGACTACAGGTGCCTGCCACCACACCCAGCTAATTTTTTGTACTTTTAGTGGAGACAGGGTTTCACCGTGTTAGCCAGGGTGGTCTCAATCTCCTGACCTCGTGATCTACCCACCACAGCCTCCCAAAGTGCTGGGATTACAAGCATGAGTCACCACACCCGGCCTATTGTTAGCTTTTTAGTGTCCATTTGTATGCAATGTTTAGTTGAGAACATGTGGTATCTAGTTTTATGCCACTGCATTAATTTCTTTAGGATAATGTCCTCCAGCTTCATCCATGTTGCTGCAAAGAACATGATTTCATTTCTCATGGCTGTGTAGTATTTCATGGTGTATATGTACCACATTTTCTTTATCTAGTCTATTATTGATGGGCATCTATGCTATGATGATACCTTGTCTTTGCTATCATGAATAGTGCTGTGATAAACATACACATGCATATACCACTATGGTAAAATAAGTTATGTTCTTGTGGGTGTATATTTAGTAATGACATTGCTGGGTCAAGTGTTAGTTCTGTGTTAAGTTTTTTGAGAAATCTCCAAACTGCTTTCACAGTGGTTGAACTAACTTACATTCTCACAAGCAATGTATAAGTATTCCCTTTTCTCTGCAATCTCATCAGCATCTGTTATTTTTTGACTTTTTAATAATAGTCTTTTTTTGTTTGAGATGGTTTTGCTCTTGTCAAATAGGCTGGAGTGCAGTGGCATGATCTCGGCTCACTACAACCTTCACCTCCTGTGTTCAAGCAATTCTTCTGCCTCAGACTCCCGAGTAGCTGGGATTACAGGCGACTGCTACCAAGCCTGGCTAATTTTTGTATTTTTAGTAGAGACAGGGTTTCACCATGTTTGTCAAGCTGGTCTCGAACTCTTGACCTTGGGTGATCTGCCTGCCTTGGCCTCCCAAAGTGCTGGGGATACAGGTATGAGCCACTGCACCCAGACAATCAATAATAGTCATTCTGACTGCCATGAGATTGCATATCATTGTGGTTTTAACTTGCATTTCTCTAATGATTAGTGATGCTGAGCATGTTTTCATATGCTTGTTGGCTGCTTGTATTTCTTCTTTCAGAAGTGTCTGTTCATGTCCTTTGCCCATTTTTTTCATGAGGCTGTTTGGTTTTTTGCTTGTTAATTTAAGTTCTCTAGGGTATTGGAACATTTTCAGATGCATAGTTTGCAAAAATTTTCTCCCATTCTGTAGGTTGTCTGTTTACTCTGTGGATAGTTTCTTCTTTTGCTTTGCACAAGCTCTTTGGTTTAATTAGGTCCCACTTGTCAGGTTTCCTTTTTGTTTCATTTGCTTTTGGAGCATTCATCATGAAATCTTTGCCAGGGCCTATGTCCAGAATGATATTTCCTAAGTTTTCTTTTAGGGTTTTTATAGTTTTTGGTTTGGTATTTAAGTCTTTAATCCATCTTGAGTTGTTTTTGTATATGGTGAAAGAAAGGGGTCCAATTTCAATCTTATGCATCTGACTGGCCTGTTATTCCAGCACCATTTATTGAAAAGGGAGTCATTTTTGTATTGCTTGTTATTGTAAATTTTGTAAAAGATAAGATGGATGAAGGTGTGGGGCTTTATTTCTGGATACCCTAACCTGTCCCATTGGCCTGTGTATCTGTTTTTGTATCAGTACCATCCTGTTTAGGTTGCTGTAGTTCTTTTTAATATCATAACTAATTTATTATAAATTATAAATTAAATTATTATCCCATTGATTTGTGACCTGCAAGATTTCTTGACTGTTTTTGGAGGCTTCAGATTCTTGGCTGGATTTTAGAGCTCCCACAAAGTTACTTTCATGAGTCTGTTTTGGTTTACTTGATGTTTCTAGAGGGTAGCAAGGGCCTGGGGCTTTTTTAACATGCCATCTTACTTATGCCACTGGATACTAACTTTGCTCTTTATTTCCCCGAAACTGGAAAGAGCTCAAATGTTTTTCAATAGATGAATGTCAAATAAACTGTGTTACATAATATTATAGGACACTATTCCACAAAAAAAGAAAAAGAATGAACAATTACAACAACTTGGTCTCCATTGAGTTATGGTGAGTGAAAAAAAAAGCCAATCCTCAAAATTTACATAGTTTATAATTCCATTTATTGATAGTGGGAAAATTAGGTGTAGTTATTAAAAGCAACAGAAATGATCCTTTTGGTTATTGATCTACTTTATATTTTGAGTCTGGTGCTCAACTACACGAGATAAAATTGCACAGAACAAAATATGCACGTACATGATAACACACACAAATTGGCACATGCAAAATTGGTGAAAACTGAAAAAGATTGCTGAGTTGTATTACACTACGGTTCTGCAAGATTTAACCGGTGGAGAAAATTAGGTAAATAGCACATAAAGTTTTTTGTATTATTTTTCACAACTGCAAATAAAATTACCTCAAAATAAAGACTTCATTCAGTTATCTGCACAAATGTCACTTGTTCGTGTTAGCCTACATCAGTTTTCAGTGCATTACCCTGCTTTGTTTTGCTTCAAGCATTTACCACTATCTGACATTGTATTGTATTGTATTGTATTGTATTGTATTGTATTGTATTGTATTGTATTGTATTGTATTGTATTGTATTGTATTGTATCCTATTGTATCCTATTGTATTGTATGGTATCTGACATTCGTTTGTCTGTTTACACATTTAGAATGCATTAATTCTTTGAGATAAGGTACAGTCTTTTTGTTTTTGTTTTTGTTTTCCAATTTACTACTCTTATCAGTGCCTAAAATGGTGCCTTCTAATAGTAAGTACAAGGTAAGTATTTGTTAAATTATGTAAAGAATTAATTAATTGAAGTTAGCATAAAATTGACCCTTAAGTATTACTTTAATTCTATCATTTAATAGTGAAAAAACTGAGGTTCAGAGAATTTAGGGATTTCAGCATAGTTTCCAGCCATACAATTAAAAAAAAATCCAGACTAAAACCAAGTTATACTGACAGCTGACTCATTTATTTTGTGACATCATCAGAATTGCCTTTGTGTGCGGCAGTGGGCGTGGTGAGAAAAGACTTGCACTAAACAAAATGTTTACACTGTAATTATCCATATAGATTGGAATAATAATGGAAATCTCTAAAACCAAAATTCTTACTATTCCCATAGCCCTCCTGTTACTATACAGAAATAATTTCCTGACTGTGATTTAAAAATCTGAATACATTAGGACTCATAATGCAATGGTGGTTAAATTCTGATATATTCAGTGTTAGTGACTTGTAAATATTAGACAGTTATAGAGCATTTGAGGTATTCATTTGAGATAAAAGAATATAAATACTGTATTTTGATTAAGTTCTTTTTGTAATTTCTCCTTCCAGGAGAAGCCAAGCCTTTTGTTTTGTTTACCTGTTTAGACAGTGAAAACAGGATTTACTGTTGGGCCGGGCATGGTGGCTCACACCTGTAATCCCAGCACTTTGGGAGGCTGAGGCGGGCAGATCAGGAGGTCAGGAGTTCGAGACCATTTTGGCTAACATAGTGAAACCCCATCTCTACTAAAAATACAAAAAGTTAGCTGGGTGTGGTGGCACGTGCCTGTAGTCCCAGCTACTTGGGAGGCTGAGGCAAGAGAATCGCTTGAACCTGGGAGGCGGAGCTTGCAGTGAGCGAAGATCGCACCACTGCTCTCCAGCCTGGGCAACAGAGTGAGACTCTGTCTCAAAAAAGATTGAATAAATAAATAAATAAATAAAACAGTATTTACTGCTTTTACAATATAGAGCCCATAAATTTTATTGCATCTAACATACTTCATCTTTTAAATGTTCAAAAGTAAGCTCTTATTATTTAAAAAACTGAAAATATCTTAATTTCAAAACCGATATGTGTCTTAAGCTCAGAATATTCTTATATGTCCACTAATTAATTAACTCATTTCTTGAACACTTCCCAAGTAACCAACACTATTCCAAGTGCTAGATAGAAAGATGAATAGAATTTCATTTCTGCTTTCAAAAAGATGGCAGTTTATTGGGGTACTTAATAAATACATAGTGAGTAAATGTATAAATAAATGATCTGATATATTATATGTAAACTTTATATCTATGACATAAATTATAATCCTTATTTTTCTTTATTTTTGAAGGAGCTTAATGGTTCAATTAGAGTATATGATTAATCGAAACCTTGTCTCTAGAAACCACTTTGCCTTGGTTTTTTTATTTGTTAATTTATTTTAAGTTCTGGGATACATGTGCAGGATGTGCAGGTTTGGTACATAGGAAAGAGTTTGCCATGGTTGTCTACTGCAGCTATCAACCCATCACCTAGGTATTAAGCCCATCACGCATTACCTATTTTTCCTGATGCTTTTCCTCCTCCTGGTCCCCCAGACAGGCCCCAGTGTGTGTCGTTCCCCTCCCTGTGTTCGTGTGTTCTCATCATTCAGCTCCTACTTATAAGTGAGAACATGCGGTGTTTGGTTTTCCTTTTTTTTTTATTGTTGCTGTTTTGTTTTATTTATTTATTTACTATTTATTTATTTATTTTTTATTATTATTATACTTTAAGTTTTAGGGTACATGTGCACAATGTGCAGGTTAGTTACTTATGTATACTTGTGCTATCCTGGTGTGCTGCACCCACTAACTCGTCATCTAGCATTAGGTATATCTTCCAATGCTATCCCTCCCCCCTCCCCCCACCCCACAACAGTCCCCAGAGTGTGATGTTCCCCTTCCTGTGTCCATGTGTTCTCATTGTTCAATTCCTACCTATGAGTGAGAACATGCGGTGTTTGGTTCTTTGTTCTTGCAATAGTTTACTGAGAATGACGATTTCCAATTTCATCCATGTCCCTACAAAGGACATGAACTCATCATTTTTTATGGCTGCATAGTATTCCGTGGTGTATATGTGCCACATTTTCTTAATCCAGTCTATCATTGTTGGACATTTGGGTTGGTTTCAAGTCTTTGCTATTGTGAATAATGCCGCAATAAACATACGTGTGCATGTGTCTTTCTAGCAGCATGATTTGTAGTCCTTTGGGTATATACCCAGTAATGGGATGGCTGGGTCAAATCGTATTTCTAGTTCTAGATACCTGAGGAATCACCATACTGACTTCCACAATGGTTGAACTAGTTTACAGTCCCACCAACAGTGTAAAAGTGTTCCTATTTTTCCACATCCTCTCCAGCAACTGTTGTTTCCTGACATTTTAATGATTGCCATTCTAACTGGTGTGAGATGGTATCTCACTGTGGTTTTGACTTGCATTTTTCTGATGGCCAGTGATGATGACAATTTTTTCATGTTTTTTGGCTGCATAAATGTCTTCTTTTGAGAAGTGTCTGATCATATCCTTCACCCACTTTTTGATGGGGCTGTTTGTTTTTTTCTGGTAAATTTGTTTGAGTTCATTGTAGATTCTGGATATTAGCCCTTTGTCAGATGAGTAGGTTGCGAAAATTTTCTCCCATTTTGTAGGTTGCCTGTTCACTCTGATGGTAGTTTCTTTTGCTGTGCAGAAGCTCTTTAGTTTAATTAGATCCCATTTGTCAATTTTTGCTTTTGTTGCCATTGCTTTTGGTGTTTTAGACATGAAGACCTTGCCCATGCCTATGTCCTGAATGATAATGCCTAGGTTTTCTTCTAGGGTTGTTATGGTTTTAGGTCTAACGCTTAAGTTTTTAATCCATCTTGAATTAATTTTTGTATAAGGTGTAAGGAAGGGATCCAGTTTCAGCTTTCTACATATGGCTAGCCAGTCTTCCCAGCACCATTTATTAAATAGGGAATCCATTCCCCATTGCTTGTTCTTCTCAGGTTTGTCAAAGATCAGATAGTTGTAGATATGCGGCATTATTTCTGAGGGCTCTGTTCCATTCCATTGATCTATATCTCTGTTTTGGTACCAGTACCATGCTGTTTTGGTTACTGTAGCCTTGTAGTATAGTTTGAAGTCAGGTAGTGTGATGCCTCCGGCTTTGTTCTTCTGGCTTAGAATTGCCTTGGCAATGCGGGCTCTTTTTTGGTTTCATACGAACTTTAAAGTAGTTTTTTCCAATTCTGTGAAGAAAGTCATTGGTAGCTTGATGGGGATGGAATTGAATCTGTAAATTACCTTGGGCAGTATGGCCATTTTCACGATATTGATTCTTCCTACCCATGAGCATGGAATATTCTTCCATTTGTTTGTATCCTCTTTTATTTCCTTGAGCAGTGGTTTGTAGTTCTCTTTGAAGAGGTCCTTCACATCCCTTGTAATTTGGATTCCTAGGTATTTTATTCTCTTTGAAGCAATTGTGAATGGGAGTTCACTCATGATTTGGCTCTCTGTTTGTCTGTTTTTGGTGTATATAAGAAGGCTTCTGATTTTTGTACATTGATTTTGTATCCTGAGACTTTGCTGAAGTTGCTTATCAGCTTAAGGAGATTTTGGGATGAGACAATGGGGTTTTCTAGATATACAATCATGTCATCTGCAAACAGGGACAATTTGACTTCCTCTTTTCCTAATTGAATACCCTTTATTTCCCTCTCCTGCCTAATTGCCCTGGCCAGAACTTCCAACACTATGTTGAATAAGAGTGGTGAGAGAGGGCATCCCTGTCTTGTGCCAGTTTTCAAAGGGAATGCTTCCAGTTTTTGCCCATTCAGTATGATATTGGCTGTGGATTTGTCATAGATAGCTCTTATTATTTTGAGATATGTCCCATCAATACCTAATTTATTGAGAGTTTTTAGCATGAAGGGCTGTTGAATTTTGTCAAAGGCCTTTTCTGCATCTATTGAGATAATCATGTGGTTTTTGTCTTTGGTTCTGTTTATATGCTGGATTACATTTATTGATTTGCATATGTTGAACCAGCCTTGCATCACAGGGATGAAGCCCACTTGATCATGGTGGATAAGCTTTTTGATGTGCTGCTGGATTCGGTTTGCCAGAATTTTATTGAGGATATTTGCGTCAATGTCCATCAAGGATATGGGTCTAAAATTCTCTTTTTTGGTTGTGTCTCTGCCTGGCTTTGGTATCAGGATGATGCTGGCCTCAAAAAATGAGTTAGGGAGGATTCCCTCTATTTCTGTTGATTGGAATAGTTTCAGAAGGAATGGTACCAGTTCCTCCTTGTACCTCTGGTAGAATTCGGCTGTGAATCCATCTGGTCCTGGACTCTTTTTGGTTGGTAAGCTATTGATTATTGCCACAATTTCAGAGCCTGTTATTGGTCTATTCAGGGATTCAACTTCTTCCTGGTTTAGTCTTGGGAGAGTGTATGTGTCGAGGAATTTATCCATTTCTTCTAGATTTTCTAGTTTATTTGCGTAGAGGTGTTTGTAGTACTCTCTTGTGGTAGTTTCTATTTCTGTGGGATCAGTGGTGATATCCCCTTTATCATTTTTTATTGCATCTATAGGATTCTTCTCTCTTTTCTTCTTTATTAGTCTTGCTAGTGGTCTATCAATTTTGTTGATCCTTTCAAAAAACCAGCACCTGGATTCATTAATTTTTTGAAGGGTTTTTTGTGTCTCTATTTCCTTCAGTGCTGCTCTGATTTTATTTATTTCTTGCCTTCTGCTAGCTTTTGAATGTGTTTGTGCTTGCTTTTCTAGTTCTTTTAATTGTGATGTTAGGGTGTCGATTTTAGATCAACACCAGTACCAGCCAGTACCAGCCACTGCAAAATCATGCCAAAATGTAAAGACCATCGAGACTAGGAAGAAACTGCATCAACTAATGAGCAAAATAACCAGCTAACATCATAATGACAGGATCAAATTCACACATAACAATATTAACTTTAAATGTAAATGGACTAAATGCTCCAATTAAAAGACACAGACTGGCAAACTGGATAAAGAGTCAAGACCCATCAGTCTGCTGTATTCAGGAAACCCATCTCATGGGCAGAGACACACATAGGCCCAAAATAAAGGGATGGAGGAAGATCTACCAAGCAAATGGAAAACAAAAAAAGGCAGGGGTTGCAATCCTAGTCTCTGATAAAACAGACTTTAAACCAACAAAAATCAGAAGAGACAAAGAAGGCCATTACATAATGGTAAAGGGATCAATTCAACAAGAGGAGCTAACTATCCTAAATATATATGCAACCAATACAGGAGCACCCAGATTCATAAAGCAAGTCCTGAGTGACCTACAAAGAGACTTAGACTCCCACACATTAATAATGGGAGACTTTAACACCCCACTGTCAACATTAGACAGATCAACGAGACAGAAAGTTAACAAGGATACCCAGGAATTGAACTCAGCTCTGCACCAAGCAGACCTAATAGACATCTAATAGACAAGAAACAATCAAGATCAGAGTGGAACTGAAAAAGACAGAAACATGAAAAATGCTTCGAAACATCAATGAATCCAGGAGCTGGGTTTTTGAAAAAATTAATATAATAGATAGACTGGTAGCTTGACTGATAAAGAAGAAAAGAGAGAAGAATCAAATAGACACAATACAGACGCCACAGAAATACAAACAACCATGAGAGAATATTATAAATACCTCTATGAAAATAAACTAGGAAATCTAGAAAAATGATTAAACTCCTGGACACACACACCCTCCCAAGACTGAACCAGGAAAAAGTTGAATCCTTGAATAGATCAATAGCAAGTCCTGAAATTGAGGCAGTAATAAATAGCCTACAAAAAAAAAAAAAAAAAAAAAAGCCCAGGACCAGATTGATTTACAGCTGAATTCTACAAGAGGTACAAAAAGGATCTGGTACCATTCCTTCTAAAACTATTCCAAACCATTGAAAAGGAGGTACTTCTTCCTGACTCATTTTATGAGGCCAAAATCATCCTAATACCAAAACCTGGCAGAGATACAACAGAAAAAGAAAACTTCAGGTCAATATCCCTGATGAATATCATTGCAAATATCCTTAATAAAATACTGGCAAACTGAATCCAGCAGCACATTAAAAAGTTTATCCATTATGATCAAGTGAGCTTCACTCCTGGAATGCGAGGCTGGTTCAACATACACAAATCAATAATTTATCACATAAAGAGAACTAAAGAGAAAAACCACATGATTATCCCAATAGACACAGAAAACGTCTTCAATAAAATTCAACACCCCTTAATGTTAAAAACTCTCAAAAAACTAGGCACTGATGGGACATACCTCAAAATAATAAGAGTCATTTATGACAAACCCATAGTCAATATCATACTGAATGAACAAAAGCTGGACATATTCCCTTTGAAAATTGGCAGAAGATAAGGATGCCCTCTCTCACCACTCCTATTCAATATAGTATTGAAAGTTCTGGCCATGGCAATCAGACAAGAGGAAAATATAAAGGATATTCAAATAGGAAGAGAGGAAGTCAAACTGTCTCTGTTTGCAAATGACATAATTCTATGTCTAGAAAACCCCATTGCATCTCAGCCCCAAAGCTCCTTAAGCTGATAAGCAACTTCAGCAAAGTATCAAGATATAAAATCAATGTGCAAAAATCACAAGCCTTCTTATACACCAACAATAGACAAGCAGAGAGCCAAATCATGAATGAACTCCCATGAATAATTGCTACAAAAAGCATAAAGTACCTCAAAATACAGTTAACAAGGGAAGTGAAAGAGCTCTTCAAGGAGAACTACAAACCACTGTTCAAGTAAATAAGAGGACACAAACAAAAGACAAAACATTCCATGCTCATGGATAGGAAGAATCAATATTGCAAAAATGGCTATACTACCCAAAGTAATTTACAGATTCAATGCTATTCCCATTAAACTGCCACTGACATTCTTCACAGAATTAGACAAAACTACTTTAAAATTCATATGGAAGGCAGGCAGATCACAGGGTCAAGAGATCAAGACCATCCTGGCCAACATGGCGAAACCCCATCTCTACTAAAAATACAAAAATTAGCTAGGTGTGGTAGCACGTGCCTGTAGTCCTAGCTACTCAGAAGGTTGAGGAAGGAGAATCACTTGAACTCAGGAGGCTGAGGTTGCAGTGAGCCAAGATGGCGCCACTGCACTCCAGCCTGGTGACAGAGTGAGACTCTGTCAAAAAAAAAAAAAAAAAGAAAGAAAGAAAGATTGATTCATATGGAACCAAACAAGAGCCCATATAGCCAAGACAATTCTAAGCAAAAAGAACAAAGCTGGAGGCATTGTGCTACCTGATGACAAACTATACTACAAGGCTATAGTAACCAAAACAGCATGGTAATTACACAAAAACAGACACATAGACCAATGGAACAGAATAGAGATCTCAGAAATACGACCACACATCTACAAGCATTTGATCTTTGACAAACCTGACAAAAAGAAGCAATGGGGAATGGATTCCCTATTTAATAAATGTTGCTGGGAAAACTGGCTAGCCATATGCAGAAAATTGAAACAGGACCCCTTTTTTACACCTTATACAAAAATTAACTCAAGATGGATTAAAGACTTAAATGTAAGGCTCAAAACTATGAAAATCCTAGAAGAAAATCTAGGTAATCCCATTCAGGACTTAGGCACAGGCAAAGATTTTATGACAAAAATGTGAAAAGCAATTTTAACTAAAGCAAAAATTGACAAATGAGATTTAATTAAAAGAAGGAGCTTCTGTACAGCAAAAGAAACTATCAACAGAGTGAACAGACAATATACAGAATGGAAGAAAATTTCTCCAATCTATCCATCTGACAAAGGTCTAATAGCCAGAATCTACATGGAACTTAAACAAATTTACTACAACAACAACAACAACAAAAACACACATTAAAACATGGGCAAAGGACATGAACAGACACTTTTCAAAAGAAATTTATGTGGCCAACAAATACATGATAAAAAGGTCAACATCACTATTCATTAGAGAAATGCAAATCAAAACCACAATGAGATACCACCTCACACCAGTCAGAATGGTGATTATCAAAAGGTCAAGAATCAACAGATGCTGGCAGGGCTGTGGAGAAATAGGAACACTTTTACACTGTTGGTGGGAATGTAAATTAGTTCAACCATTGTGGAAGACAGTATGGTGATTCCTCAAAGACCTAGAACCATAAATACCATTTGACCCAGAAATTTCACTACTGGGTAAATACCCAAAAGAATATAAATCGTTTTATTATAAAGATGCATGCACGCATATGTTCATTGCAGCAGTATTCACAATAGCAAAGACATGGAGTCAACCCAAATGCCCATCAATAATAGACTGGATAAAGAAAATGTGGTACATATACACCATGGAATACTATGCTGCCATACAAAGGAACTAGATCACATCCTTTGCAGAGACATGGATAAAATTGGAAGCCATTATCCTCAGCAAACTAATGCAGAACAGAAAACCAAACACCACATGTTCTCACTTCTACATGGGAGCTGAACAGCCAGGCGCAGTGGCTCACGCCTGTAATCCCAGCACTTGGGAGGCTGAGGCGGGTGGATCATGAGGTCAGGAGATTGAGACCATCTTGGCTAACACCGTGAAAGCTTGTCTCTACTAAAAATACAAAAAATTAGCCGGGCGTGGTAGCGGGCACCTGTAGTCCCAGCTACTCAGGAGACTGAGGCATGAGAATGGCGTAAACCCAGAAGGCAGAGTTTGCAGTGAGCCGAGATTGTGCCACTGCACTCCAGCCTGGGCAAGAGAGCGAGACTCTGTCTTAAAATAATAATAATAATAATAATAATAATAATAATAATAATAATAATAAATAAATGGGAGCTGAACAATAAGAACACATAGATACAGGGAGAGGAACAACACACACTGTGGCCTGTCAGGGGGATGGAGAGAGAGGATAAACAGCTAATGCATGCAGGGCTTAATACCTAGGTGATGGGTTGATAGGTGCAGCAAACCACCATGGCAAATGTCTACCTATGTAACAATCCTACATGACCTGCATGAGTATCCTGGAACCTAAAATTAAATTAAATTAAATTTTTAAAGACATGCTTCTGAGTGACCATTGGGTCAAGAAATAAACTAATAAAGACATGAAAAAAATATTGAAACAGATGAATGCAAATCTAAGTACAGCATATGAAAACTTATGGGATACAGCAAAAACAGTGCTAAGAGGGAATTTTACACCAAACATACTTACATTAAAATAAAATAGTGGGAGTGTTCAAATAAACAATCTAGTGATGTACTTATGCAAACTAGAAAGCAAGAAAAAATAAATCCTAAAATTAGCAGAAGAAATAACAAAGATCAGAGCAGAATAAAACAAAATAGAGGCCCCTCAAAAAATGAAGATGCATCAATGAAACAAAAAATTGGTGTTTGAGGAGATAAACAAAGTAAGTACACTGTTAGCTAGAATAACCAAGGGAAAAAAAAGACAAGACCAAAATATATAAAATGAGAAACAAAAATGGAGACATTGCAACTGATACCACTGAAATACAAATGAACGTCAGAGATTATTATGAGCAATTATACAATTAAAAATTAGAAAACTTAAAAGAAATAGATGAATTCCCGAAAACATACACCTACCAAGACTGGATCAGAAAGAAAAAGAAAACCTGAACAAACAAATAAAGAGTAATAATATTGACTCAGTAATAAAAAGTCTCCCAACAAAGAGAATCCCAGGACTGGATGGGTTCACCGCAGAATTCTACCAAACACACAGAAAAGAACTAATGCCAATTCTCCTCAAACCGTTTCAAAAAAATTAAGAGGGAATTCTCCACAACTCATTTTACAATTATCTTGATATAAAACCAGGCTAGGATGCAACAAAAAAAGAAAACTATAGGCAAATTTCCATGATGAACAAAGATGCAGAAATCGTCAACAAAATACTACCAAATCAAATCTAATAACATATCTAAAAGATAATACACCATGATCAAGTGGAATGTATTCCAGGGATGCAAGTATAGTTCAACATATGCAAATTCAATAAAAATGATACATCAAATCAATAGAATGAAAGACAAAAATTATGTGATCATCTCAACAGATTTAGAAAAAGCATTTGAAATAATTCAACACTCCTTCATAACAAAAGCTCTCCACAAACTAGGCATAGAAGGAACATATCTCAACATAATATAGGTTATATATAATAAAACCACAGCTAACAATATATTCAATGAGGAAAAGCTCAAAGACTTTCTTCTAAGAACTAGAACAAGACAAGGATGCCCACTTTCACCACTCCTATTCAACATAGTACTGGAAGTCCTCGCCAGCACATTTAGGCAACAGATAGAAATAAAAGGCACAAATTGGAAATTGGGGAGTCAAATTGTTCCTGTTTCCAGAGGACATTATCATACATCTAAAAACCCTGAACGCTCTAACAACAACAAAAACAACAACAAAAACTCTTAGATCTGATAAATAAATTTAATTAAGTAATAGAACATAAAGTCAATATAAAAAATCAGTAGTGTTTCTATACACCAATAATGAACTTGCTGAAAAAATCAGAAGTAAGTCCCATTTGCAATAACTACAAAAAATACTTATAAATATGTATAACCAAGCATGTGAAAGACCTCCCTAAGAAAAACTATAAAAACCTACTGAAAGAAGTTGAAGAGGTCAAAAACAAATGAAAAGATACCCCAAACTCATGGACTGGAAGAATTACCATCATTAAAGTCACCATGCTACCCAAAGAAATCCACAGATTAAATGTAATCCTTATAAAAATGCCAGTCATTTTTCAGAAAAATAGAAAAAGAAATTCTAGAATTTGTATGGAACCAAGACAAAGCCCAAATAGCCAAAGCAATTCTCAGCAAAAAGAACAAAGTTGTAGACATCACATTATCTGACAACAAAATATATTAATTACTAATCTATAGTAACCAAAACAGCATCATACTGGCATAAAAACAGATATATTGATCAATGGAACAGAGTAGAGGGCCTAGATACAAATCTATGCATTTACAACCAACTTATTTTTGACAGAGGTGTCTCTCATTTAAAAAGGGGGAGTCTCTTGAATAAATGTTGCTTGCAGTACTGGATGGATATCCATATGCAGAAGAAAAGAATGAAACTTGATCCGTATATCTCCCTACATAAAACATCAATTAAAAAATAAAAATATAAATATTAAGTCCTGAATCTATAAAACTAGTAGAAAAATACATTGGACAAATGCTTCAGGACATTGGTCTTGGCAAAGAGTTTTTGTCAAAAGAACAGTCAACTAGATTAAAAAAAATAGACACATGGGACTACATCAAGGTAAAAAACATTTTGTATAGCAAATGAAACAATTAAAGTGAAAAGACAACATACCAAATCAGAAAAAAATTTTGCAAACTTTCCATCTGACAAGGTATTAATAAGCAAAATCGATAAGAAATTCAAACAACTCAGTTGGAAAAAATATATAATTTAATAAAAAATAGGTAAAATATCTAAATAATCATTTCTCTAAAGAAGACATACAAATGGCCAACAGGTACATATAAAAATGTTCAACATCACTAATCACCAGGGAAATGCAAATCAAAACCACAATTATATACCATGTCACCCCAGTTAAAGTGGCTATCATTAAAAAGACAAAAAATAATGAATGCTGTCTAGCATAAAGAGAAAAGGGAACAGGTATACACTGTTGATGGAAATACAAATGAATACAGCCATTATGGCAAACAGTATGGAGTTTCATCCAAAAACTTAAAATATACCTACCATATAACCTGCAATTCCACTATTGGGTATTCATCCAAAGGCAAGAAAATCAGTATATCAAAGGTATACCTATACCCACATGTTTACTGAAGCTCTGTTCATAATAGCTAAGATATGGAATCAACCTAAATGTCTATCAACAGTTGAATGTATTTAGAAAATGTGCCTTATATGCACAATGGAATACTATTCAGCCATAAAAAGAATATAATTTAGGACACCATGGATGAGCTTGGAGGACATTATCTTACGTAAAATAGGTAAGGCAGAGAAAAAGAAATACCACATGTTCTTACACAAAGATAGGAGCTAAAAATTTTTTGAGCTAATTAAAGTAGAAAGTAAAATTGTAGATGTTAGAAGCTGAGAAGTATAGGTAGGAGGGAAGATGGAGAGAGGCAAGTTAACGATAAAAATTAATGCTACATAGGAGAAATGAGTTGTGGTGTTCCACAGCACTGTAGGATAAACATGGTTAACTATAATTTATTGTATATTTTCAAAAAGCTGAAAAAGAGGATTTTGAATGTTTACAACACAGGAAAATGATAAACATTTGAGGTGATGAATATGTTAATTACTCTGATTTGATCATTATATATTATATATGTATCAAAATATCACTTTTTCCATAAATATGTACAAATATTACATATAAACTAAAAATGAATTTTTTAAAAAGAAGTAAGAAGTGATCCCTTTTAGGAGGTGATTAGGTCATGAGGACTTCTTTCTCATGAATGAGATTAAGGCCTTTATAGAGCTGGTTTCACAAAATGTATGTCTTTTTTGCCCAACACTTTCATCATGTGAGAACACAGCATTCTTTCTCTCTGAAGGATGTGGCAATAAGGTGTCATGTTGGAGGTAGGGACTGGGCCCTTTCTGAAAACCAGACCTGTCAGTGCCCTGATTTTGGACTCTCAGCCTCCAGAAGTAAGAGAAATAAATTACTGTTCTTTATAAATTACTCAGTTTGTGGTACTTTGTTATAGCAACACAAACGGAACAAGACAAGGAATAAACTACACAAATAAGAAAATAATTAACACGTTGATTCTCAAATTTATGAAATGGCAAAGGATCTGAAACAGCCAATATAATTCTTAAAATAAGACCAAATTTGGAGACAGGTATCTGGTTTCAAAACTTACTAGAAAACTATGGTCATTAAGACAGCATGGTGTTAGCATTAAGACAGATAAATAGAGCAATGGAATACAATAGAGTCTATTTCTAGACTCACATATAATCACTTAATTTTCCACAGAAGTGACAAGGTAATTCAGTGTGGAAAGCAGGGACTTTTCAAGGTGCTGGAAAAACCAGATATCCATATACAGAAATATTAACCTCAATTCCTACCTTATATCACAAAGAATAGTTGATTCAAGATGAACAATCAACTTAAACATAAAAGCTAAGACTAACATGTTTCTAAAGAAAAACATAGAATATTTTTACAGCTTAAGCAAAGATTTGTTTTAAGCAAATTACACAAAAGCACTAAACATAAACAAAAAAGATAAATGATACTTCATCAAAATTAAAACTATCTGCTCATCAAAAAATACATTACCTAACTGGTAACGCAAATTACAGACTTGGAGATAATACTTGCAATTCACATATAGAACAAAGGACTCAACCAGAATATGTAAAAAAATAAAACCCTTCTATAATTAGACTATAAAAAGAAAAACAAACTGATTAAAATGAGCTAAACACTTGAATAGATACTTCACAGAAGAAAATATATGAGTGCAAGTTTTTATATTCTACATCTCTCACTTATTCTTGCTGAACCTGCTCTTAGCCCTCCTGAATGCTACCAATCCCTTGATCATTTATTTCTTCCTGAATCCATTAATCCCTTGATTCCTTACTCAAACACAAACGCAACCCCCCAAAAAATATGTAAATGGATAATTAGCATGTGAGAAGATCCTCAACATCAAGAGTCATCAGGAAAAAGCAAATACAGTCACAATTGTATACTACTTCACATATTCGAGAATGACTAAAATTAAAAACATTGACAACACAAAGTATTTGTAAGGATATGGAGAACCTAGAAACCTTATAATACGGCTCATGAGAGTGAAAAATGCTACAATCACTTTGGAAAACAATTTACCAGTTTCATTTATATACCTTTTGTCCCATCAATGGCCACCTCTTAAAATAAGGAAATATGTTCAATCATATAAGAACAGAATTGTAAAGTAAAACTGCACTGAGATCTTATCTGCCATAAAATTATAACACATTTATTCCACAAAACAATGGGAAAATAGTTACTTTCATATAAATCTGGTGGAACGTGTAAAATGATACACCTATAGGGGAGAATTTGGTACTATAAATCAAAATTTCAAATGTGTGTGTCTGTTTCTGGGAATTTATCCCACTGATCATGCACATAAGACACATATCAAAAAACGTATGTTCAAAGTTATTTTCTTCAGGATTGCTTGTAATAGCCAAAGACTGAAAACAAGTCAGTGTCCATCCATGGTGGATGGGTAAAATTAGCCATAATTCACCCACACAATAGAATATAGTCCTGATATTAAGAAATGATAAGGAAGATCCCTATGGACTGCAATGACTCCAAGGACATCGTGAGTGAAAAATAAAAACTACAGAGCAATTTATACATTATGTTATCTTTTGTGTAAAATGGGAGTAAGTTTACTTGTATTGGCATTTAAAAAATATTGAAATGACATAAACACACACAAAAAAACTACTTTTAATGTCTCATGTTGGGTGCGAAGGTGCTAAAACATGACGGATGAGAACAGAAATGGGAAGGAAGAACTCTATGTATTCATTTGTATAAAGTGTTGATTTTTGGACTATGTGACTCCATTAACTATTCAAACATTAAATTGAGGAAAAAGAAAAAAAAGGGATTAAAGACCCGAACATTAGCTTTGGCTAGAAAAATTCCATATCTATGAAAAATAGGAGAAGGAAACTAGATTGATTAAAAGGAATAGTCAATAGTAAAATAATAAAAGTGTATGTACAGATACTTCATTCAACGATGTTTGGCAATTAACAGATGAGAAATAGTGAAAAGGTAATTAATAAGGGTGATAAAATGAAGCACAATCTTTGAAACATAGGTAAGTACTTGCTTACATGAAAGCATGTTAGAAAAAAAGAAATAAGAAAAAATATATAGAATCTGAATGAAGTCAAGAGATAAATGTAGGAGGATGGTCTCTTATGGCTCAAGAGGAGGTGAGGAAAAGTATACAGATTAAAGAGAAGTACAAGCAGGAAGAATGTGAAAATGGATACATACAAAATGACATTATTAGGTCAAGATGATGTAAATTAAAACAAATTTTCTCTGTACTGAATAAAGAAATATTTGAGATCATCAGCTTGAAGGATGGAAGAAGAAAATGGGATTTAGCGGGTGGGGAAGGATGATTGTTGCGATATGTGAGCCAAAGAGAAGATGAGACATGGGAAATAGGATTCTTGAACTTTGGTAAGATTTAACTCAAGCACAGAAAGTTGGACTGCACTACACTTCAACAAAAACTCAACAGTTTTAGGATGACATTCTAAACAATATTCCAGAAAAGAAGTGGAGAAGTGAAAGTGGTTTGCACGTGTTAAGTCCCTTACAACCTGAAAGATGGGTACTATTTTATTATCCAAATTCTAAGGTGAGGAAATTGAAACTCAGAGTGAATAAGAAATTTTTCTACAGACACCCTTCTAGAAAGTGGTGGCATCAGAATTCAAACAAATTCCAAAATCCATGTGCTGCTTATCACCAAGCCTGGTACATAAAAGACATTCATTGGGTACTTTTTAAATGACTAAAAACCTCTTAGAAATATAAATTACAAATTATGGAAGTAAAACACCAGTAGAAATTGGTCAGCCAGGATTAGAAAACAGTCAAAGGTAATGCAAAAATAATTTGATTTGCTAAAGAGGAAAACATGCAGATATCATTACTACAACTTTCATTAAATATTCAGTGACAATTTAAATTTCTATTAGGACTACAAAATGCTATCATAAAGTTAGTTATATTTAGAAAATAAGCTGTGAAATCCACACCAAAAATCTTCCCAAAATAAAAATATATATTGCCTTAAGAATTGAAGATTTTTATACCTCTGCTGAACCTATGAAATAAAAATTATTTGTATATGCAATCGGATAACTCCTAGGTCTAATATATCTACAAGGAATTTTGTTTATATCAATTAGAGAGGATAACAACTGTTTTCATGATCCCAATAAAAACAGAAAATATTGGTCATTTACTTAGTTGATACCACACATACCTACATGTACATTGAAAAAATATAATTATAAACAATTTTACACACAGATACACACACCCATAGACAAACCCACGCATATGTATGTGAATAAACACACACAAGCATCTGGAGCATATGAAGCATCAAAATAAATGTTGTTCTCTTAGAGGTCTTTCAGGCTACACCTGCACAGAGACATAACAATTATTCTTGGTAAATTAAGTTTCATATGCACACTAACTTAAACTGTTCATCTGATACCTGAAAAATTGAGCCAAATCTTTAAGTTTTTCTCTGGGATAAAACTGGACACTGTCATGAAAGTCCATTGTGTTATATTACAAACATGTTTGCCACAGTTCAAAGAATAAATACAGCACACTTCACATCATCGATGGACGATAAGAATAAGGAATATGGACAGAGAAGACCCACAGTCCCTAACATTAACTTCTTTTTTTTTTTTCTTTTATTGTTATACTTTAAGCTTTAGGGTACATGTGCACATTGTGCAGGTTAGTTACATATGTATACATGTGCCATGCTGGTGCGCTGCACCCACTAACTCGTCATCTAGCATTAGGTATATCTCCCGATGCTATCCCTCCCCCCTCCCCCCACCCCACAACAGTCCCCAGAGTGTGATGTTCCCCTTCCTGTGTCCATATGATCTCATTGTTCAATTCCCACCTATGAGTGAGAATATGCGGTGTTTGGTTTTTTGTTCTTGCAATAGTTTACTGAGAATGATGATTTCCAATTTCATCCATGTCCCTACAAAGGACATGAACTCATCATTTTTTATGGCTGCATAGTATTCCATGGTGTATATGTGCCACATTTTCTGAATCCAGTCTATCATTGTTGGACTTTTGGGTTGGTTCCAAGTCTTTGCTATTGTGAATAGTGCCGCAATAAACATACGTGTGCATGTGTCTTTATAGCAGCATGATTTATAGTCCTTTGGGTATATACCCAGTAATGACATGGCTGGGTCAAATGGTATTTCTAGTTCTAGATCCCTGAGGAATCACCACACTGACTTCGAAAAGGTTGAACTGGTTTACAGTCCCACCAACAGTGTAAAAGTGTTCCTATTTCTCCACATCCTCTCCAGCACCTGTTGTTTCCTGACTTTTTAATGATTGCCATTCTAACTGGTGTGAGATGGTATCTCATTGTGGTTTTGATTTGCATTACTCTGATGGCCAGTGATGATGAGCATTTTTTCCTGTGTTTTTTGGCTGCATAAATATCTTCTTTTGAGAAGTGTCTGTTCATGTCCTTTGCCCACTTTTTGATGGGGTTGTTTGTTTTTTTCTGGTAAATTTGTTTGAGTTCATTGTAGATTCTGGATATTAGCCCTTTGTCAGATAAGTAGGTTGCAAAAATTTTCTCCCATTTTGTAAGTTGCCTGTTCACTCTGATGGTAGTTTCTTTTGCTGTACAGAAGCTCTTTAGTTTAATTAGATCCCATTTGTCAATTTTGTCTTTTGTTGCCATCGCTTTTGGTGTTTTAGACATGAAGTCCTTGATGAACATTGATGCAAAAATCCTCAATAAAATACTGGCAAAACAAATCCAGCAGCACATCAAAGAGCTTATCCACCCACCATGATCAAGTGGGCTTCATCCCTGGGATGCGAGGCTGGTTCAATATACACAAATCAATAAATGTAATCCAGCATATAAACAGAGCCAAAGACAAAAACCACATGATTATCTCAATAGATGCAGAAAAGGCCTTTGACAAAATTCAACAACCCTTCATGCTAAAAACTCTCAATAAATTAGGTATTGACGGGACGTATTACAAAATAATAAGAGCTATCTATGACAAACCCACAACCAATATCATACTGAATGGGCAAAAACTGGAAGCATTCCCTTTGAAAACTGGCACAAGACAGGGATGCCCTCTCTCACCACTCCTATTCAACATAGTGTTGGAAGTTCTGGCCAGGGCAATTAGGCAGGAGAAGGAAATAAAGGGTATTCAATTAGGAAAAGAGGAAGTCAAATTGTCCCTGTTTGCAGACGACATGATTGTATATCTAGAAAACCCCATCGTCTCAGCCCAAAATCTCCTTCAGCTGATAAGCAACTTCAGCAAAGTCTCAGGATACAAAATCAATGTACAAAAATCACAAGCATTCTTATACACCAACAACAGACAAACAGAGAGCCAAATCATGAGTGAACTCCCATTCACAATTGCTTCAAAGAGAATAAAATACTTGGGAATCCAACTTACAAGGGATGTGAAGGACCTCTTCAAGGAGAACTACAAACCACTGCTCAATGAAATAAAAGAGGATACAAACAAATGGAAGAACATTCCATGCTCATGGGTAGGAAGAATCAATATTGTGAAAATGGCCATACTGCCCAAGGTAATTTACAGATTCAATGCCTAACATTAACTTCTAAAAGTTATCCTCCACAGGTTTTGCATATTCTACTCTCTGATTACAAGATTAGAGAATTTTTTAGTTTGTTTGACTTATGCCAGTAGCAGAGGAGACATAGTCCCTCTCTATTCACATGTTACATCATGAATACATTTGGTCACTGGAAATATATACCAAAGCATATGTTACTCCAAGGCTTGATGGCTGGTTCAGGTACATAAAATGACCAGAAATGAGAGGGGTAGTCTCTTAAAATCTGTTGTCATTAACTCAGTATTAATTCTTAAGGAGTAAACTGTAGCAAATAAGGACAATTTCTTACTCAAACAATCATTATTCATGCATGCAAACCAGTACTTGGAAATAACAACAGGGATATAAAGTAAAATTCTCAAAATTCAGTAGACACCCATGGAATAGGATGGAAACTAGAAGGAATCAGAATTTACTGAAAAGATTTCTCCCACAGTATGGCACAGTGAGAAGAGAATAAACCAAAACATAAAGAAAAGACTAGAAATATTCAAAATTCCATTTTCATTTTATGCACATTAACACATAGGTTTTCCAAGCTTTTCAGGGTAGAGTTCTCTTCAGATTTAATTTTTCTTTTTAGGAGTCACAGTTCTGAACATAAACATACATCATATAAAAATAAGAGACTAGCAGTTCGTAAAACTTCATTAGAAGAAAAATAAACTTGAAGATGAAATTAAGCTTTGCTTAGGGACATGACATTTGAGAACACAGAGAGAAATTGTTTCATAAGTATCAGAATAAGCTACTAGGTATTTTTGCTAATGTTTACTTTATCTTTCAGATATTTTGAAATTAAAGATTTGTCCTTAAAGTGTTTTAATGGTTTGATTTAATAATAGGCAATAATTGAATCTAAATAGTCAAAACTATCTTTGATGAAGCAAATTAAGCATGTGACTATAAAGGACAGAATTACAAACCCTTTGTATTTTAGTGAATTATGACCAGATCCTTCAATATAGAAATCTTATTGCTACTATGTCACTTTGTCAATACAAGTGTAATATTGCTTCTAGATTATTTCTACTATGCCTAATATCATAAATCACACTAAATTTTTTCTCCTTAATTGATAATGATACATATTAAAATATGCTTTAAACTTCAATTAACAGAAGGATATTTGTAACGGATTTTGTCTCAAGTAATTAATGGACACAATATTAAAGTAAAATTGCATTTTTGTAAGTTAAACTTGCTTTCTAGTTAAAGATATATAAGACAGTATCACAAAATGTAAGACCTGGACTATTATTTCATACTTCTATGACTTTTCTATTTCAACTTTGCATTTTGTTATATAAATTCTCAGCAATATGTATTTTCAAATATCCTCATAATCAGTTATTTCAGTACATTTACATGGCAACCTATTTACATGGAATATATTTATTGGCATTTGAATATATTGTTGAAATCATCATATTCTGAAACTTTAGCTTTACTACTAACATTGATTTTTGATGAATTCCAAAACTGTTTAATTTTCTAATGACAATAACTCTTTTATGAACAAGACCTTTATCCAGGTGCACTAAAGTGTACTTTGTATAAAAAAAATGCATGTTTTACAAAGTGGAATTAACTATCCAGGTGGACAGCTGGACCACAGCAGGGTACATTACTGTGGGAGGAAGGAGAATTTTGATCATTGAAACTGGGCTAATTCCCCTATGTTTATATAAAACTGGAAAAAATGCAGGATCTCAGTGTTTATTATGGTAAATGAAAAACACTCAAGCAGTCAAGCTTCAGGGAATTCAATTTATCTACACACTTCAAAGGCTAAATCAACTATGATGAGTTCTAAAAATACGGAGCAAAAAATGACAAAATATTGTTATAATAAATGCTTTTTATAATTTCTTTTAAAATATCCCTTGTTAGACAAAAATATTCTAAACTTCAAATGATGTTTCAGTGATTTATTGATCTGGTTATATAAAGATTTGCTTTAGAAATATTAAAGTGTGAAGTGAATAGCTATTGCCAATCCATATTATATGATAGTTATTCACTAATATGAAAAACAAAACAAAACTATCCTATACCTAATTATGCGAAATGGAAAATGTGCAAAGAGAAACCAGAGACTTCAGTCCAAATCCAAAGCACAGAAGAAAACAAATGTTTGTAGGATTTTCTTTCAAAGAAAAATGAAAAGCAGTGGAAATAGCTGACTCTGATTAGAAGAAAAGCAATTTAGGCAAAAATGTGTCATCTTTCTATGTTACACAAATTATTAAAAATAACTGTATCTCTGTATTCTGTTGTAAAATTGATAAACCTTTAAAAATGCCCTTGTGTATTCAGAAATTCTTTTCTGAACGCCAAATGAAAATAAAATTCCAGTATCTAGTGCCAAGTAATTAAAGTGTCTTCAGAGTCCAAAGTAATACAATTTAATCCTTTTAACTTTACTAGTGACATATGAATGCAATACACTTGTATAAAATACTCTTTTACCATATATCCACTTGAGATATGATCTTCCTAATTCTTAAATGTATTTTTTTATTTTCTCCCTGTCAGCAATTTCAAAAGAATGGCTAAGGGCTGAATATTACCTACCACAGAAATATAGCACTTTTTCATTCATTTGCAACTAGTAATAAGAGTAATCCCTCGTCACTACATTGATCAGATTAATCAGAACTTATCAAAATAATTTCATCATTCTGCTATGCCTCCTATTATCTTGAAAGTGAGAAATGACCAGTTGAGCAGCGAAAAAACTGTAGTTGAATCGTTAACAGTGCAAGAGGATGGTCAAGGGGAGCAAATAAAAACAATAGGGCATGGTGATGGAGAGAAGGAGCAGTTTTTAAAAACCTGTACGTGAATGTTCATAATAGTTATTTGTGATTACCCAGTGTCCTTCAACAGGTAAGTGATTAAACAAAATGTGTACAAAAAGGAATAAACTGTTGATACACATCATAACTGGATAAATCTCCAGGGAAATATGCTAAGTAAAAAATCCAATCCCAAAGGTTATATTCCGTAAATTTCATTTATGGAGGTGAGATGGGAGGGAGGTGAGTATAGTTATAAAAAGGAAGCATAAGGAATCTTCATGGTGATTGAACTGTTCTGTATCTTGACTGTGGTGGTGAACACAAAAATCTACACGTGTGATAAAATTGCATAGAACTAAATATATACATGGGCATGCACATACAAATGAATATATGTAAAACTGGTGAAAGCAGAACAAAATTTTTGGTTCATATTAACGTCAGTATCTTGATTGTGCTATTGCACATGCTTTTGCAAGATGTTACCATGGAGGAAATTGGGTAAAGAGAACACAGGATCTTTTTATTATTTCTCCCAACTTCTTGTAAATCTAAAATTATTCCAAAATAAGTTTTTTAAATGTATGGGAAAGGAAAGCAAAGTGCATGATTCAGGGTTTTTTAATTATACTGCCTGATTTTAGCTCTTATTTCTAAGCAAAGTATAGAAGTATCAGAAATTAAAGTATTTCACTTTAATTTTTAACCAAGGTGAGATTACACTATTAGATAATAGCTGCAAAAAATCTAAACTTGACTGCATAAATGTCTTCTTTTGAGAAGTGTCTGTTCACATCCTTTGCCCACTTTTTGATGGGGTTGTTTGTTTTTTTCTTGTAAATTTGTTTGAGTTCATTGTAGATTCTACATGAAAAAATGCTCATCATCACTGGCCATCAGAGAAATGCAAATCAAAACCACAATGAGATACCATCTCACACCAGTTAGAATGGCGATCATTAAAAAGTCAGGAAACAACAGGTGCTGGAGAGGATGTGGAGAAATAGGAACACTTTTACACTGTTGGTGGGACTGTAAACTAGTTCAATCATTGTGGAAGTCAGTGTAGCGATTCCTCAGGGATCTAGAACTAGAAATACCATTTGACCCAGCCATCCCATTACTGGGTATATACCCAAAGGATTATAAAATCATACTGCTATAAAGACACATGCACACATATGTTTATTGCGGCACTATTCACAATAGCAAAGACTTGGAACCAACCCAAATGTCCAACAATGATAGACTGGATTAAGAAAATGTGGCACATATACACCATGGAATACTATGCAGCCATAAAAAATGAAGAGTTCATGTCCTTTGTAGGGACATGGATGAAGCTGGAAACCATCATTCTCAACAAACTATCATGAGGACAAAAAACCAAACACCGCATATTCTCACTCATAGGTGGGAATTGAACAATGAGAACACATGGACACAGGAAGGGGAACATCACACTCCAGGGACTGTTGTGGGGTGGGGGGAGGGGGGAGGGATAGCATTAAGAGATATACCTAATGCTAAATGACGAGTTAATGGGTGCAGCACACCAACATGGCACATGTATGCATATGTAACTAACCTGCATATTGTGCACAAGTACCCTAAAACTTAAAGTATAATAATAAAAAAAAATCTAAACTTGAATTTGAAAAAGTTTTAATTATTTGAAGTGGTTTCACATCAGAAATTTTCTTGAAAATATTGGATGTAAGTCAATGAGCACTGTTGTTGTTATTGTTAATGAGTGTTCAATGAAAGTTAGCAAGATGCTGTCCATGAATTATCTCATTCTTATAGAAAACCTATGAGATAAGTGTTGCTCTTATCCACATTTTATAGATGAAAAAAACTGAGGTTCTGAAAAGCTGAGTAATTCATTCAAGGTTATCAGGTAATAAGTGGCAGATTCAAAACTGTGACCTAGGTCTCTCTGACTCTGCATCTGGTTCTCTTAACTACTAGAATTTAATGCCACTTCTATGCTTTACTCACTGGAAGACTTCTAAAGAAAACAATTGTTCTTTTTTATAATTAAGTATGTAAAGTATAAAAATATAATGACACAGTAAGGGAAAAAGATAATTTTGTCAGATGTTCGCCAATTTTGTGTTCTTATAAATATTCAAATATGGATTGGGTTAATGACAATACATTTTATAATAGAAAATCTGTTAGCATCAAATTCATAACTATAACACTGAAGAAAGCCAAAAGATAATCAGATGAAAACATAAAAGATAATAATATCAGTTACCAAATTAAATACAGGTGATGTTTCAAAATGAACTATTACCTGAAAGCAAGACACCAGTTTTTTGTTATTGCAAGAATGAAACAGTTAGTAGAATCACAAAAAAATTCAATTGCCTCTCAGCTGAGTTTAGTTACCCTGTAGTCTCTAGTTTGGAATTAATCTTTGAGCTTTTGAAAAATTAATATGTAATGAGAATATTGCTTACATTCACAAGTATGAAAATAAGATGCTTCCTTTAAAGGCACTTAAATCAGTTTCTAATAAACTTATTTAATATTGGGCTTTATTTCTTTTGCTTACTGGCCAGAGAGTACCACATAACCTAAAAGTAATTTATTGGAATTCAGTAAGATCACAAAATGTGATAATGATCTGAGCCAATCTATAACAAATAAACATTCCCCTAATTCAACGGAAAATGTCATCCAACATACCATATAAAGCTACATCCACTTCAAAAATGTTTCTGATTATATTATACCAATTGTCTTTTTCTGTTCATTTCATTTTTCATGATAGAAAATTAAAATGATTTGATTTATCCTTTTCTGAGTTTCTGACACATGTTGTAATAAAGAAATAAAACACTATTTGATATGCTTTAAAATAATATGTCATCTGATTAGAGATAAAGTTATCTCAGCTGGGTTCTATCAGTACCAATAAAAAGAGAAAAATCAATTTATAAAATAAAATATAGAAAATTTCATAGATTTTCCTACTATTAAATTTGTAATTTAATGCCACTATAATGACAGCCACATTTACTACATGTGATTTAATTTTATCATTGGGGAGGGGGAATCTCATTAATTTAGAAACTGTAAATAAAGATGGACATTTCAATTATGTAATTAAAAACTTCCTCACTTGTTTTATTTTCATGCTGAAAACAATTACAAAAATAAAGCCATGTAAATAATTACAATGAAACTACAGCAACTCACCAAACAATAGGAAACTAAGAATTAGAGGAAGATAAACTGGAGATTCATCTGGTTGTAGTGTGTATCAATAGTTTATTCCTTTTTATTGTGGTACATATGTACTCAATTTGTTTAATCACTTACCTGTTGAAGGACAGTGGGTTGTTTTCAGTTTCTAGCAATTATAAATAACTATTAACAAATCAGGCACCAAAAAAAGTGTACAGCAAGATTATTTAGTAATAGTATAATTAACATTATCATCAAATACCTCTTGTTATCTAAGAAAGTCTTTATACTTTAATCAGAGATCACTACATGCACTTTAATAAGCCTTTGAAGTATGACTTTTTAAATCTTTTCTTAGGTTCAGGGGTACATATGCAGATTTGTTATATAAGTAAATTGCATGTCACAGGGGTTGGTGTATAGATGATTTTATCATGCAGGTAATAATCAAAATATTCGATAGGTAGTTTTTCATTAATCTCCTTCTGCTCATCCTCCATTCTCTGGTAGGTCCTGGTTTCTGTTATTCCCTTCTTTGTGTCCATGTGAACCCACTGTGTAGCTCCCACTTATAATTGGGAACATGCTGTGTTTGGTTTTTCTGTCCCTGCATTAGTTCACTTAGGATAGTGACCTCCAGCTCCATTCATGTTGCTGCAAAAGACATGATCTCATTCCTTTTTATGTCTGCATAGTATTCTGTGGTGTATATGTATCACATTTTCTTTATCTAGTCTACTGTTGATGGGCATTTAAGTTGATTCCATGTCTTTGGTATTGCAAATAGTGCTGTGATGAACATATGCATGCATGTGCCTTTATAGTAGAACAATTTATATTCCTTTGGATATACACCCAATAATGAGATTGCTGGGTTGAATGGTAATTGTATTTTGAGTTCTTTGAGAAATCACCACACTACTATCCACAGTGGCAGAACTAATTTACATTCCCATGAGTAGTGTATAAGCATTCCCTTCTTTCCACAACCTTGCCAGCATCTGTTATTTTTTGACTTTTTGATAATAACCATTCATACTGGTGTGAGATGGTATCTCATTGTGGTTTTGATTTGTATTCCTCTAATGATTAGTGATGTTGAGCATTTTTTATACGTTTGTTAACTGCGTTTATGTCTTCTTTTGAAAAGTGGTTGTTCATGTCCTTTGCCCACTTTTTAATGGTGTGGTTTGTCTTTTCTTTGTTGATTCACTTAAGTTCCTTATAGATTCTGGATATTAGAACTTTGTCAGATGCATAGTTTGTGAATATATTCTCCCATTCTGTAGGTTATCTGTTTACTCTGTTGATATTTACTTTTGTTGCACAGAAGCTCGTTAGTTTAATTAGGTCCCACTTGTCAAGTTTTGTTTTTGTTGCAATTGCTTTTGGCATCTTCATAATGAAATCTTTGCCAGGTCTTATATCCAGAATGGTATTTCTTAGGTTATCTCCCCAGGTTTTTATAGTTTTAGTTTCTACATTTAAGTCTTTAATTCACCTTGAGTTGATTTTTGCATATGGTGTAAGGAAGGTGTCCAGTTTCAATCTTCTGCATATGGCTAGCCATATGGCACCATTTATTAAATAGGGAGTTCTTCCCTCATTGCTTGTTTTTGTGGGCATTGTCAAAGATCAGATGGTTTTAAGTGTGTGGCATTATTTCTGGGCTCTCTATTCTGTCACATTGGTCTATGTATCTGTTTTTGTAGCAATACCATGCTGCTTGTTTACTACAGCCTTGTATTATAGGTTGAAGTTGGGTAACATGATGCCTCCAGCTTTGTTCTTTTGTTCTTTGTTCATGGTCTTTGTTCAATTGCCTTGGCCATTCAAGCCCTGTTTTGGTTCCATATGACTTTTAAAATAGTTTTTTTTCCCTAATTATGTGAAGAATGTCATAGATAGTTTGACAGGAATAGAATTGAATCTGTAGATTGCTTTGGGAAGTATGGCCATTTTAACAATATTGATCCTATTTTGTGTCAACTCTGATTTCTTTGAAAGGTGTTTTGTAACTCTTGTTGTAGAGATATTTCACATCCCTGGTTAGCTGTATTCATAGGTATTTTATTCTTTTTGTGGATACTGGAAATGTGTTGCATTCTTGATTCAGCTCTCAGCTTGGATGTTGTCAGTGTATAAAAGTGCTACTGATTTTTGTACATTTATTTTGTGTCCTGAAACTTTGCTGAATTCATTTATCAGATCAAGGAGCTTTTGGGCCAAGACCATGAGGTTTTCTAGGTACAGAATCATACTGTCTGCATATAGTTTGACTTCCTATCTCCCTATTAGGATGCCTTTTATTTCTTTCTCTTGTGAAGTATGGCTAACTTTCGTATACTTAAACCTATTCTCCATTTTAAAGTTTTCTGAATTTTCTATCCCCACCTTTCCCCTATTTGTCCCACTAAATGTTCCTTCACTTGAGTAACAAGGTCTAATTTATTTTTTTTCTTTTGATAAGTTCATTTTGTGACAATAATCCTTGTGACCAAACTTTGCTCAGTCAATTAGATGTGCTGTTCAATCTACTTCAGTTGTCGCGATGATCCTAAGCAAGAAATCAGTCAGTTTTCAATGCATGGTTTTCATTAAATAGACATGGCTTTAAAATATTAAAATAAGTTCACCAATGTGAAATACACACTTGCATCATTGTGTTAAAATTTGTAATTGAAAATTTGAATACAGGGTTGTATTTAAGATTTTCTAGAGAATAAAGCCTAAATTTCATCAAAGTATAATTATTGTAACTGGTTCAATAGATTATTCTTAGGCTAACATATATGTGTAAATTCATTAAATTAATAATTGTTTGCAAGTTAATATCCAAAGTTATCTCATTGGGCTCCCTAGGTGATGATGTGCTAATTGCCCCTGGAGCTGGCCACTTGTATTTTTTTAAATAGAGGTAACTGGCAAATCTGGACACAGTTAAGCAATTATGCTAAGTAAGAGAGAGAATGCTGTCTGAAATTCTAGCCAACAATTATCCATTAATCATGTCCAATATTTTTTTTCTATGGATGGTAAAAAATAAACCGCCTAAACTCTCCCAATTTAAAAATATGAGTGGCATTTTGTTACATTCCGGCAAGGGGAATAATATCAGAAACTTCTTGGCTTCTCACAAAATAGTGTTTTTAATAAATCGATGGCGCCCTGGATCATGGTCTTTCAAAGGTCATGCTGGTCCAGGAAGATACTGGGAAGCTGAATCACAGGTCGGATGATATAACTGGGTAATAGGGATTCAGAGGAGCACCGGAAAATGGCACTTGTGCTTTGACTTTCTAAAGTGTTTGTAAAACGGCCTGTTTGACCCAGACAGAGCTTTACTATCACAGGAAAGTGCTTTTGGAGTCCCTGATGAGTGCAGCAACCTCACCCCAAACTTTTGAGCACATCTTGGCGCCCAGAGCAGCCATTCGCGACCTAAATTACTAAGTCAAGATTCAAGCTCTACAGCAGCAAAGGTCCTGTGAGGTACGCTTGGCTGGAAGAAAGCTAGGTATCTGGCTCTGCCCAGAAGGCGCCCGCTCCGCAAACTGCTGGGAAGTTCTGGTTTGTTCCAAGAGTAGCACCAAGGAGACAAAGGAACATGCAAAATAGGATAGCTTATGCTGGCTGCAAGAAGCTGCAGTCGGGTTTTTGCCCCTGGGCCCTCTGATAATCACCGCAGGGACTTGGGGCAGGAGCAGGCTATTGGAATGATGGCAGACGGTTTAAAATTCCTTACTTGCTGATCCCTGAGCAGTGGTCTTGTAGAGTCACCACAGCACTGGAGATTGGCAGCTAGCTCCACCACTAATGTGCTCTCTTAAATCTCGATTACTTGAGGCGGATAATGGAAGAATGAAGTTACCTACCTGATTTGTTATTGTTGCTGCTGTGAGGTTTAAGAGTTAACATGTAGCAACATGAGGATTAAGAGTTAACATGTAGCAAGATAGCAAGCTTAAAAAAAGAAAGAGAAAGACAGAAAGAATGAAAGAAAAGAAAGAAAGAAGGAAGAAAGAGAAAGAAGAGAAAGAAAGAAAGAAAGAAAGAAAGAAAGAAAGAAAGAAAGAAAGAAAGAAAGAAAGAAAGAAAGAGGTAGTGGTTATTGTTGGAGGCCTCACACCTGTGAGTGGTATCGCCCCAGAACTCTGTCAAAGTCTCCTGAATCTTGAGAAGCCAAGCCCTTGTTCTCTTCTATTGGGCTGCTTCCTCGGGTACGACTTTGTAGGAGCCACCAGGAATTAAGTGCACCTGCTAAGGTCATGAGACAAGATGAGCCTCTTTGGAATGCCAAAATTTGCCCCCAGCAGACCGCACTGCTGCGTCTACCCAGGCAGTATACATCTAGCCCTTCACATGTAATCATGTTGAATTGAGTTTTTGGCAACACTTGTCCCTGGCTAACTACCTGATTCTGCGGAGCGTCAGAGCCTGGTCTCTCAAAAGCCCTCTCCCCAAAGGCCAGAAGTGAAGTTTCCCCCGGCCGTCATGGCCCTGAAACGGAGCACTGCAGAGCTCACAGAGGGGAGTGGAGATGGGAAGAAAGACACTGTTTCCTGAGTTGCCTGGATAGGATTATTTATGACGTAGCCACAAGCCTCTTCTGCTACAGCAGGCGGAGACCTTGCCACCTCAGGATTATGCTGCCACTTGCACTTAGCCTTCTTCCCGCATATACACACCCAGCGACATAAAAAGGGCACTCCTGCCCTGAGTTTGGAAATGATGTTTTGTGATGAGAGTCTAGTCCTGGTGGCTCACTCCTCACTGTCTATTGCTCACCGGCACGGAAAACTCTCTTTCATTCATAAATAATTGCCTTGCGCATTACTGTAGAAGAAAACTTAGTTAACAAATTCCTTTGTTTTGCTTGTGAAGTTACCAGATTTGGTTAGTAATTGCCTGCTTGATCAAAAGCCATTTCCTTCGTGGTTAACCAAACATCAACTTGTCTCTGTTGGGCCCGTTTTAAATATCACCAAAAGTGAACAGCCCCAATTACGACAGGAAACACATTTCCCGACATTAAACAAGGAACAGAAACAGATTTGTCGTGTTTCAAAATGCACATAGTTCTATGGATGGGCTCACATGCTGTTCTTATTTGCAACCTTCTCTCCCTAAACAAACACACAGGAGCGCGAAGACACAAACACATTCTTCTTTCAGTGGGTGTAGAAGGATTCTTGGAAAATCCTGTCTCTGAGTTATCTTCAAAAATGGCTGAAACTTATTACTGTGACACTTTTTAACTTGAAAATCAAGATAAAGTAAAGGGGAAAGTCTAAAATAAAATAAAATACAATCACTATTTTACTTTTCTTGAAAGAAGGGAAAATATTTGCCAGGAAAAATACTTTAGAGAGACTGTAGTCCTCTTCAGACATTTAAAACTTTCACATGAGATAGTAAAATAAATTTAAAAATTAAAAAATAATCCCTTGAGTTTTTGTGTGGTTGACTGTGAGCTGCAAATCTCAGGAACACCGGAATGCATTTATAAACCCATCAGAAATATCACCGTCACTATTTGGCATTCAGTATTGATAAGAAATGCGTGGTCCTCCTTGGCCTCTGGTTTTTCAGGCAGGGTTATAACAGGCATTATCTGCTTCAGGGGTTTTATTTGGGAAATCCCCTGGGTCCTTCCTAGTTATCCATGGCACTGCGGTGTGGTAGCCCAATGCGGGGTAGCTGGGGTTTCCTGCATTACTTGAAAGGTATGGTGCTCTCTGCAATGGAGAAAATAAATTTAAAAGCTATAGAATTCGTCCAATTAAACCGCACTAATCCAGAATCTGTCTTCTCTTCTATGAGAGCCTCTTCACTAGAGGATAAAATGAGCATTGATTTTTCAAGTACCTATGGATCACTTATTGCTAGTAAATTCTTCTGACTTAGGGCCTTAAGCCCTTTTCGATTCTCTCTGAGCTGCCCTGGAGAAATAAACCAACAAGTAAAAATCAAACATGTTCTATTTTGCAGCAGAAAAATGTGTCAGCCAAGACATTTCTGGGATTCGCTGTGCATTAAATTGTGTGTGTGTGTGTGTGTATATGTGTGTGTGTTGGATCTTTCCTTTAGGAGGTGTAAAGTTTTGTTTATGTGGCGCTTGCAGACTGAGAGGGGGATCCTGGCCACTGAGAGTCTCTACACTGCCTGGGAATCACTGCCTGAGGCTGAATGGGTCTCTTAGTGGATGACTCCAGAGCTGAACCCCTTGAGTGGAGCTTCTGAGCTGCTGTTGTTGATTGAGGATTGAAAAGTGTTTTCCAACTGCAAGTGCTCCTGCTGGGCATGGAAATGAGCTGACTAGACTTGTAAAGTCAATCCACTCCTGCTTCAAAGGCATTTTTTCCCAAGTGCATTAGCCTGTAGCTCAGAGCAGGATGCAGCCAGGTATGGTTGCAACCGGGAGGCTGAGGTAGGATGCAGGGTGCCTGCAGCCTTGAGGCTCTGAAAGCTGAAATCACAGACTGTCATTGTGACTTCATGGCCAACCTTGAGTAACAGCAGGTCTTCTGTGGGAGAAGTTGCTGGAGTCCAACCCCGGAAGTAGCAAGTGCCTCTCCCACAGCTGAGGGCCAGAACACCACGTTCTCTTGTGCTCTGGCTCTAGGCCACTCTTCTCTGGGCTCTTGAGAAGAGCTGCTGCAGGCATTTGCAGAGTGAATGAGCTCTGACTGAGACTTGACTTCAGAACCACTGGGCTGGCCTGGCCTCTTGACACAGCAACACACTGCTTCTTGCCTTCCAGGTAAATACCTCTGCCTTACTGACCATGTTATGGGTTTTAGTGGGACATCAGTACAGGGATTCTCCTCAGCCTCTTCCTCTCCTGTTAACTATCACTAACCAAGTCCCTAACATTAGGAAAGTCCAACTGATAACTGTCAGTTTCATCTTTCATTAACTGGGGGTTTTGTGACAGAGATCTTGCAATCACTACTTCTCGGGGGACTGGAAGTAGAATATTAGTGCTCTTTAAAATTAATGAAGGCTAGACTTGTCCAGTCTGTTAAGAGTATGCTGTAATACCCAAAGAAGCCAGCAATAGTCCCTCTCCTAGGCAGCAATGCAGCCAGAAGGCTCCCAGGCCCAGGATACTATGCATTAGTGCTCACAGATCTTGTTTAGGGAGCTAGGGAGCAAGGGGAAGGGACGGGAGTGCCTCCTGGAAGGTGAGGACTGAAGCCAACGTGGAAGTCACTGAGCTGAGTGGCAGGTGTCTAACACTGAAAAGTGGCCCTAGCCAAGGGCTCTAAGTAGTGGTACTTTCTACCGAGGCTCTTCCCCAAGGAGCTCTAGATCCACAGAGGCAGAAGGATTATTTGATCTTCTTTGCACTCATTTGATTTCAGGAGGAGGTCTGAAGTCCCAAAGCATGGGCATTGGGGTGAGAGAGGGAACATCAAAGTGTGCCAAAAAAGATTGTTTTATTTTACTTATTCCTGATTTTTCTTACCAGAGCTTGAGCTCATACACCGCATTGTAACACAAACACACAAGCACACATACCACACACACACACATGCCTTCAAACTAGAGAAGGGGACTACAGAAAGCACCTGGCCATAAAAGGCATGTCAAGGAGTTTGCTGTAGGGTGGTGATATGGTTGCTTTGTTTCAGTTCAGCAGACTTATCTCCATGAAGACCTTATTGTTTTCTGTGATTTCTCTTTTGTATTTTTTAAAATTTGTCTTTATTTCTTAATTATTAAAACCTTCCCTTTTGCCCCTCGGAGCATTGATCAGGGTTTACTAACTACAAATATTTACTTCATGAAGGAGCAGTTTTTTCTCTAGTAATATTAATGTGGGGACCCTGGGAAGGAAGACAGTGTATGAAAGAAGGCATAGATTGGCTTCAAGCACAGGCAGTATAGGTGTTTGCCTATATTTGGTGTTTTGATAGACTTAGGGAAAATCCCTCAGCCTACTACCAAATATTTTTGAGTGTCAGTACATCTGTGGTTGTTAGGTATTGAAAAGCCCTGATTAAATACAGATAATTATGAGAATATGGAAAGAAGCCTTTAGTACCTTATTCGCATGTCCTAGGAATGATGAGGTAGGGTGCCAAGTTAAGAAGAGGAAAATATATTGTAAATATCCAGGAGTAAGTAAATAGTGAAAAGATTAGCACGAGATTTGGTGGGCCCAATGGAGTTCAGGATGATTTCTTTCTTAACAGAAGGATCTGCTTCTGTTGGGCTCATGGCTGCCCAAATTAGGCAGAGCCAGATGATGACTCACTGATCTGAGAACTGAGTGGAGTCATTTGGTGAGAAAGCGTGTGTAGGGGAAGAGGGTGTAAAGCAAGCATTTTTCTAGTTTTAGGAAGATAAAATAATTCCTCATAAACAGTATTTTTTTTCAATAATTCATTGATGCAATTAACTTGGCATATCTCCGTTCAAGTGATCTGAGCCAGTGATATTTTGCTATATGTCTGAATTATTTATTTTAAAATATCAAACTGGCACCTGCAGTCATTTTTCAAATCCTAGCCCACTTTCTTTGAGGCTGATGCATATAGCATATTTGGAGGTAACTCTGACTCTCATCCTCATTTTTAAAAAGGCAGCATGATGCCAGGTGCGGTGGCTCAAGCCTGTAATCCCAGCACTTTGGGAGGCTGAGGCAGGCAGATCACCTGAGGTCAGGAGTTCAAGACCAGCCTGGCCAACATGGTGAAACCCCGTCTCTACTAAAAATACAAAAATTAGTTGGGCGTGGTTGAACACGCCTGTAATCCCAGCTACTCAGGAGGCTGAGGCAGGAGAATCACCTGAAGCTGGGGGGCAGAGGTTGCAGTGAGCTGAGATTGTGCCATTGCACTCCAGCCTGGGCAACAGAGGGAGATTCTGTCTCAAAAAAAAAAAAAAAAAAAAGCATGAAAAAAAACAAAGAAAAGGAAAGAGGAAAGATGGGGGTGGAGTAGGTAAAAGAAATGTATAAGGCATAATACCCAAGTTAAAATGACCTAACCTAAAAATTCACATAGCACAAACTCTACCCATGAAAAAATATTATGTCCAGCAGTCCTGATTGAGCCTTCAGTTAATATATGACTGTGCAAGTGCCAATGGAGCACCAGAGAGGTAACATAAAAAGGAATAGGTTTGACACTAGTTTGGTGTTGTTTTTGTGTGTGTGTGTGTGTGTGTGTGTGTGTGTGTGTGTTTTCTTTAATTTTGTTCATTAGGTTTTGTAGAGACAGGATCTTGCTATGTTGCCCAGGATGATCTCGAACTCCTGGACTCAAGCTATCCTTTTCCCTCAGCCTCCCAAAGCACTGAGATTACAAGTGTGAGCCCATATACCTGGCCTTAAGCTCAATGTTTTAATGGAGAGTGTTTGAGGACTAAAAGAGACAGGATGCATTTATAATTATTTATTATTTTCACTGCTCCAGGAAGTCAAAGACAGCTGAAAGGTGACCATACAATGCCTCTTCTGGCAATTACTAGAATCACCATAGGGTAGAATTACATTTGGACTTTCAAAAAGGTTTTTTCTTTTTCGTTTATTCATTTATCCTGCTCAAAATTAGCCACGTACAAAATTGTCCCCATAATTCTGGTGGCAAATTTCCTAGGAAATTTTTAAAAATTCTATCGACCTTAGGTTATTAATTCAGTGAAGAAATAAGAAAAAGTAGTTGTATGCCTTTGATATACTTCAGTTAGAATGAGAAATACAATGAACTGAAGCCTAATGTTGTAATTATTATCATAGGAAGGCCTTCACCATTTGATAGCAGTATGAACACATGATTAAATTCAACAGAATGCATTTTCCTGTAGCTAAAGTTTTTGCAAGCATGAGCATTTCGCTTCCAATCCTCCCCATGAGAAGAACACAGCGAACACAGATAAGAATTTGTATCTCTACTTTTTCTTCCCCTACTCTACCAAGGAGCAAGAGTAACAAAGTTTGACATGCATAACTCAAGACTAGATGAATAAAAGCACAGTCTTCTTGAGAGATTATATTGAATTAAGCTAACCAGAAGTTGAGGGATTCAGTGTGAGAATTACTTTAATATTAATTAGGCCACATCCCTCAATTTCCTGAAGTGAGAACACAGCTACGAGTTAGGGTCTTGTCATTAACACATTTTATCTAATCATATAAGAACATACACTTACATTGCATTGGTAAATACCAAAGATATATTTCCAAGGATGAACTTGATAAAAACAGGTCATGTATTCTAGAAGACATGTTTCCTATGGATTTTTGAAATTCAAATGTAATCTTTTGGTTTAATTCACTAATTTTATTTATTAAAATAGTATTTGAATTTCTTAAAAAAAAAGGTGGCTTTCCTAAAGACTTTCAACCTTTTGAATCTGCTTTAGGATTTAGCCAAAAGTTGGGGGTTCCAGTGTTGATCCCAAAGTTTTCCCCTTCGAGTGTTTCGCCTCAAAGAATTCACAGCTGTATAGTTGATAGAAAGATTAGCACATTCTTGAAATTAACTCCCATCATCTCTTTAATTTTGAAAACATCTGTGAGTGCTTACTATGTTCCAGGCTTTGTCCTAAGTGGTTTGCATGTTTTCTTCTCTTTTTACTAAACTCTCAGATATATAAACACACTTACAGAAACATACTCTATGATAGGAGTGTTAGAAATAATAGCTTTAAATGGTTAAAACAAAGAACTGAATGCAAAAAAAAGACTTGTGTAAGGTCATTCAGATAGAAAGTAGAGTCAGAATTTGAATCAGGTCAGTCTGAATCTAAAGTCTGTCTTCTTACATGCTGTACTGCTTGAGCCTTATTCCTATTTATTATCATAGCCTGAAGAATTCATGTAGAAAGTAAAATTTAGTCAATAACATAATTTTCCTATTCTCATAACCAGTAGTATTGAAAAAGGAGAAGAGGTAGGAAGAAAGAAAACTAGAAGAAGAAAGTGATCTTCCAAATTTTATCAAGATGAGTGTATTTGTCAAGACTCTTTTGTCTACAAGTAATGGAAACCCAGCTGAAGCTCACTTAAGCAAACAACGATAATTTATTTCTTCATGTCACTTAGCTAGTGCAGGCAAAGTTGAATTCAGGTACTCAAATGATGTTGTGGGGAAGCTGATTACATTTCCTGACTCTGCTTTCATTAAAGTGTTCATTAGAGTGTTCATTCTAAGGAGGTCTTTCCCAAGTAATGACAAAAAAAAAAGGCCATGAGTAGCTTGTTTCAGATTCATGTTCCACAAGCTTGGAACTATGCCAAAATATCTTAATCATGGGGAGTGGGCAATTCAAAACCAACATTTTACTGTAAGGATTTTCCTATTATCAAACTTAAAAAACATATTCTTCTTTCTATTGTGGGCATCTGTGGGTCTCAGAAACCTCCACATGTTTCGCTGCCCCTCCATTGTTGAAGAGTCTCTTATAAAGGTTTATGGGTGTTCATGGATGAAATATAGAGATGCCCCAAAGAGACTTCCAGGTGTGGAGAATGAATTGCTGGCATTAGTACATGCGCCTCAGGCCCCCAATACCTGACAGCCCAGTGCTTCAGCAGCTGACCAGACTGCAAAGCTAGTTATGAGATAATGCAATATTTTCCCCCTCAGATACAAGTTAACAGGAATTAACTATATTTTAGTCTAGTACATACAAGGGAGAGCTAAGCTACATATCTCCCAGTGATGTCAACAGATATATACAGAAATGGGAATGGAAAAAGTTCAGATTACAAAAATAAAAAAATTCTGGATGACTAAATTACATGCATGTAATAAATATTAAGAAAGAAGTTTCTTCTAAGAAAGAAACTTACACCCAAGATATGCTATTTTCTTGATTTCAAAATATCACATCATATGTTAGGTAGTCTAAAATACTAGCACAGACATTGCAACAAACATCTTTTGCTTTATTTTTACAAAAATCTATTTAAAAAAAAAGATACCAAGCAAAGTTGTCCCTTTCTATACAAGGTAACGTCCTGCCTTTTAACAATAAATTGAGCTAAGGTTAAAGGCAAGACAACACCTGTATTAGGAGATACTAACACAAATATTACATGGTAATAATTGCACTCTAAAATTAACAAATAAACTCGACTTTTCTGTTTTTTAGTTGTGTATTTTAGCTAAGAGCATGCAATAAATAAAATATAGATAGATAGAGATAGATTAGATAGATAGATAGATAGATAGATAGATGATACATATAGATAGATAGACAGATAGATAGATAGATCTTCTGAGTAAGAGGAAATGAACAAACACTCTCCCCCCACTTTAATGGGTGCGAAAAGAAACGAATGCTCAGATCACATGCAGATGTGGCTGTTTTCCAGCCCAAGTTCCTTACACGAAATTGGCCTTACCTGTGAGGTTCACTTTGCCTGTCTAGGATAGGGACAGTGTCTTTCTCAATTCTGCATGGTGAGCAGTGGCTAAATAATGATTGAGCCAAACCCTTCAGCAGCATTCAAGCTGTAAGTAACTCTTTGCCATACTGAGATTTTTAGAGTGTTTAAAGTCATACCCAGTTGCCTGAAGATCTCCTCCCTATGGCTGAATATCCCCCTACCACCACCACTACCACTGCCATCACAGTGGCAGGGCACATTTGTACCTAAGTAGCTGAAATTAAAAGGACACACAGGTCTTTTACTCTCAGATTCCAGTATTGGCATATTATAAGTTATTTCAAGTTGCATCTTATTTTAAATGAACTTGGATCAGCTTTAAATGCCCTTTTTACAAATGTGTCAGAGGAGAATAATATAATTTTTCTGGAAAAATGCAAATGCTATTAGTTAAGATGCAACCTGCAAAAGAATCCAGGGGCACTTGATTTCTTATTTCTGATGAAAAGTAGGAGACCAAATCATATGCACACAGGCAGACATCTCATATCTGCATACGTAAACATGCTCTTTGGATGTTGTAGACAAGTCTCTTCCTGAAAAAAAAAGAAACTTGTATATTCATTTTAAGGAAAAGTAAAATCCAGCCCAAGAATATATTCCAGGAGACACTGGAATCAATTACTTAATCCGAACATTTTGAGTTGTGCACATTCTTGGGAGCAAAGGCCCTTTTGTTGCCCTGCTGGTGGACCTGGAGTTTTTAGACTGTGTTTGCTGATTAAGTACTGTGAGAAAAAACAAAGACTATGTATAGGAATATTGGGCTCCAGCAGAGGCAGGGCTTGAAGATCCAAGTTTTCTCTGATGCTTGACAGTGGCATTGGGAGACTCCTGCCTGCCCTCACCTCACTAACAGAAGAGAGCGGATAAACTGGCACAACTGCTGCTCACCTAATTTGAGACTCCAACTGCAGAGCCAACTGGCCCCAAAAGCTTGTACTCCTTTCTGTTTCCCAGTGCCTTCACTGGAGAGCAAAAGACCCTGATACATCTCTCCGGATCTGCTTAAAGTGGTCCCTCGTGGGCAATTATTTCGCATGTCTTTGAGTTTTATAATTTAATGTAAAGCTGTAACCTGTATCTCCCTTTTCTCCTCTCTCTACTTCCCTATCTATAGCTTTTTTTCAACAAGCTCCAAAACCCCCCTCCCTGTTAGACTCTGAAGTGTCACTCACTGTGTTTTTTATGCTTCCAATAGTTTCCAAAACAAACAGTGGAGGCAGTGACCGGCTGGGTATTCACTGGATGCAACAGTAACTCCCAATCCGAGCAACCTGAGCCGCCATTGGCGGCAGGTCTGCTCCCTAAAAGGCCAGCACTTGCCAATCTCTGCTCTGCCAGGTCCTGGAATCAGGGATTTGAGGACTAATGGTCTGCACATGTGCACTGGGAGGAAGGGAGACTAGACTTTGAAGGACATATACACTAGTTTGATCTTCCTCTCCTTTCATTTTGTCTATTCAAACAAAAAATATATATGTATATAAAAAAATTACACACACACACACACACACACACACACACACACACACACAATTATTTTCTTTGAATACAGATCCAGAAATTGTTTTTCAGATTTGGGTTTTGGGTTTGGGGTTTTGTTTTGTTTTGTTTTGTTTTTCCCGCTTTCCCTCCTTCCTTCACCCTCTGTGCCCTCCGCCTGTGTCTCCCCCTCCCTCCCTAACCCAGTTCAGGTTGAAACTTTGCTGCAAAGAATCCCTTCACCCCCTCCAGGGATGGCTCTGAGCTCTCGGGCGCGTGCCTTCTCCGTGGAAGCCTTGGTGGGGAGACCCAGCAAAAGAAAACTCCAAGACCCAATACAGGCGGAGCAGCCTGAGCTGCGGGAGAAAAAGGGCGGAGAGGAAGAGGAGGAGAGAAGGAGCAGCGCTGCAGGGAAGAGCGAGCCGCTTGGTAAGTACTGCCATTGCCCTGAGCCCGTTGCCTGAGCTTACTGGTTCCGCATCTCTCCGCCTGGCTCGCGTCCCGACGCAGCCAGACAGCCACATTAGGAGCCGCGAGACACCTCGACCACCTGGTGAAGGGGAAGTTTCAGCGCCTCCGAATCCATCCCGGAGTACAGCAGTTTCTTTGCGGTAAAGGGGAGGGTCCCTACATAATTGTGAAGTGAGTCTCTCCTACATCCTCCTCCTACCTTCGCGGAAAGCTCTCACCGCCAGCGGGTGGCTGCTGTATCCTGGGATGGGAAGCAGGGCGAGTTCCCAAATCCCGAGGGCATCCAGTCTCGGTTATCAACGTCTCCAGGAGAGTGAGGATTGGCAAATCTAAAAAAAAAAAAAAAAAAAGCTGGTGTGGGCGGGGGGTAGGTGTCGGGTGTCGCACCTTTCACTGCCCCTCTCTCTCCATTAAGCGGCCACAGAGGGTGTTATGCGGAGCTTGGGGAATCTGTCGCCAAAGTTCCTGGGGAAGGGACAAGGCCCTGTCTGCTCCAAGATAGGCACCAGCGAGAAGTGGGCATGTGAACTGTGACGCTCTCTCAAACCCTGAGCGCCTTTCTGTGTCCAGCAGAAAAACAACCTAAGACAGAGCCCTCAACATCTGCTTCCTCTGGCTGCGGCAGCGACAGCGGCTACGGCAACAGCTCTGAAAGTCTGGAAGAGAAAGATATTCAAATGGAGCTTCAAGGATCTGAACTGTGGAAAAGATTCCATGACATCGGGACTGAGATGATCATTACTAAAGCGGGCAGGTTCGGTTCTGCCCAAGCTGTTCACAAGGGTCACACACATTAGGCACTTAATTTACCGCTCTGGTAAGATGAGGACTCTCCAGTTTTATGCTCTGGTACTCCTCTGTCCCTTTTCCCCAACTCCCTGACATACAGTAGAAAGCCATAGCCCCTCAATTGATAGGGCTCGGACTTACCTGGCCCCATGTAAGTGGCTCATTCTTCCTTTCCTGTACACTGTGACTCCAATAACTCACTTCCCCGTCTCCTGCCTGTGTAGTATAAGACAAAAATCAGACTTTGGTCTTAGACTGTGGCCAGACCTCTCAGTTAAGGCCTCTAAGATAACCATGGACAGTATCCCATGTCACAGTTCCTCGCGCCCGCTAGACCTGGCCCAGGTTATTTTGAGGTGAGCCATTCCCATAGCCACCTTTTGGCATGGGACAGCCACTTCACTGCAGCTGGTTATTTTGTGAGTCTAACTAATTTCAGCCTTCCACAAATCTGCCTCACAGAAAGTACCCTTGAAAAGGAGGTTGGGACACAGCTTTTTCTCTCATACTTTCTCTTCTATAGCTTTTTATTATGGTTGGGGAGGGACATGAACAAAGCCTTGTGGTAATAATATTCTGCTCCACTTAGAAATTCCGTACTTGTTCGGTCAAGTATGCAACCAACAATCTTTCCTCATGTAGCAAATGCTATTCCTTGCTATTTTGAAAAGGGAAGGGTATTGTGAGTCCCTTCACTTTTTACTGGAGTCAGCATTTGTCCAGAAACACTCCCTCTTCCAAACATTTCTAAAAGCTCTTGGGTCAGTCCTTATTTTCTTTCTTACAGGCGGATGTTCCCCTCTGTTCGGGTCAAGGTGAAAGGGTTGGATCCAGGGAAGCAGTACCATGTGGCCATCGATGTGGTGCCGGTGGATTCCAAACGCTATAGGTAATGGGCCCCATAGAATGGTACTCTATGCCCAGGCTAGGGCCAGGGATTTGGACCTTCAGACCTGAAACCTGACAGCATGACTTTGAAAACTCTAGCATGGGGGGTGGGAGTGGGGGATTGCTCTCCTGTGGGCTTTAGGAGTTGAATTTTCTTATTAAAATTGGGGTTCCCAGTGAAAGAAGAGAAGCCTTCTTCCTCTCTCTGCCCCCATCCCCTCTTGGAATGCCGTGAATTCAGGGCACTAATTAGAACTCCAAATGTACCCCAAGCCTCTCCCTACCCACTGCTCTGGCCTTGGTTGTGTAAACTGCAGAGGGTGTGGGCTCTGGTGGTCAGAAGGGAAGCGGGTTGAAGGAATTGTGGGAGAAATCCCCAGGCTCTATGGGAGCCTGGGCATCTGGGGACATGCTGGGCTCTGAGCTTTGCTGCTTTGGCAGCAGGAGGCCAGAAGGATGATCAATTTGCCACTCAAGGTCAGTCAAGCGTTCCTGTGTCTAGGCCTGTCTTTTCGTCCATCTTTAACCTTTCCCCTGAAGTAATGTCTGGGTCTTAGAGGGTACAAGTATCATTTTCCCTTTATTTAAGCCCTCAACCTACAGCAGGCTGAAAGTGGCCCAACTGTTTTAAAGCCAAAAAGCCCTTCTGGGATACACCCCAGACACACCAGCTTGCCAACACTTTGACTCAGGGGCTTGGGGTCCAGTTCAGGGTTGGAGGGGTTGGGGAGGTGACAGCTGTTTACACTAGGGCTGTGAGCATTTGACCCAGAGGTGGGTCCCTGGTCCTCCAAGGAGACAGCCCACCTCAAAACCAGAGCTAGCTTTGAAAGCAAGGAGAAGGCTCTGCTCAGAGGACTGCTGGGGCTGCAGTATGGAAACAGCAGAAAAAGCTGTTTGCTTCTCAAATTGCAGCTGGCTTGGGAATAAGAGCAAAACTGGGAAGTTGAGATTGGAAATAGTGTGAAAATCGGCCAGAGGCTGCGCAGGGCTGTGTTCCTAAGAGTTTTCTTGATGTGAAGCCTTATTGACAAAAGGGCTTCCACAAAGAGTGGTGACAGTGGCCTAGACAAGACATCCTTGTCAGCCCTCCACTTCTTCCCAGACTCTTCACACCCAAAGCTAGTGGATTTTTCCATTATCTCTGTGAGATAAAATTTGTTAGATCAATTTCTGTGGTGGTTTCTGTGAGAAAATACAAATCAGACTTAGAAATCTCATGACATTTTACTTTCCCTGCACTTCATTGCATTTTGATGACATATGCTTATTTACAGTTTATTTTTTGCCCCGAATGCTTGTTAGAAATTAAGTTGAGTCTTCTCCTTACTTGCCCTTGGGATCACTGGGCTAATCTGGAGTGAAGTCCTCAGGAACAGAACACAACAGCTCCCAGCTTTGGCCTGCTGCACCTAATGCCACAGCATGTGTTTTTTCAGGTACGTCTATCACAGCTCACAGTGGATGGTAGCTGGGAATACAGACCATTTGTGCATCATTCCTAGATTCTATGTTCACCCGGACTCACCCTGCTCGGGAGAGACCTGGATGCGGCAGATCATCAGCTTTGATCGCATGAAACTCACCAACAATGAGATGGATGACAAAGGCCACGTACGTGAGCACAATCCTTTACCCCGAGGAGGGAGGTGCCAAGGCTCCTGCCCACTGGTCACCCTGGAGAGGCCAGGGAGGCTTTTTGCAGATGCACATGTTGTGTTTTTTAGGAACTGTTCAAGCCCTGCACCTGTAAGTAAAGTAGCTAACCTAGGGCTCCTGAAACGTTTGTTTAGCATCTGAGATGCTGGCGACTGGGGATGGTGAATATAGGGAGTTTGAGGACAGAAGGAGACCTGTTTAAGCCAGAATGCCTGGTCTGGGAGAGTAGGAGGGAACCATTCAGGGAGTTCTCAGGCACCTTAGCCTCCTTGGCAATCACTATGATCTCTGATTGCCTTCCTGTAGTCCACGCAGTTGGATGGGCACCCAGTGTATGGTATGTGTGATGGAAGGATACAAGTGGGGGAATCTCAGACTGCATCCTGGAAATCTCCCAAACAACCTACCCTCATAGGTCCTATTGATCTTGCACATTCTCACTAGGTGCACCCCAGCTTCTGTCCTCCCCAGTCTGGCACTGTGCCAGCTACAAAAGGAAAGAGGGAAGCTCCCAAGATTAGGAGGTAGGGTATGTCAGGTTACCCACCATATCCAAGCCTATCAGTTACTGCCATGGGAACTTGTAGCAGGCTAGCAGATCCCAGTGCCACTTCTACACCAGATGGTCGCCAGTGTTTGAAGCAGGAAAAGGCCCCAATCTGGAAATGGAATCACTGCTGACTGGTGCCGCTGAGGTGTCTTTCTCTGGAAATGTTTTTAGCTCGGAGCGCCTCTGTTGGAGGCCAAATGGCACAACAAAGTAGTTACCTAAGCTTCATCATTGCCTTTTTGTGTGCACATGGTGGAGGTGGTCAGGAGAGGGAACTAGGGTTTGGGACTGAAGCCAGTTTTTCTAACAGCATTGATCATTTCTCCTCCAGATCATTCTGCAATCCATGCATAAGTACAAACCCCGAGTGCACGTGATAGAGCAAGGCAGCAGTGTTGACCTGTCCCAGATTCAGTCCTTGCCCACTGAAGGTGTTAAAACATTCTCCTTTAAAGAAACTGAGTTCACCACAGTAACGGCTTACCAAAACCAACAGGTAAACTTGGTCATGTCTCAGGCGAATGGAAATGGCTCCAGAGGGACCTTGGATTAGAGGCATAGAGGCTAACTGCCATCAATTGCATTTTCCACAATTCTAAATAAAAATCATAGTTTTATTGTATTGTCATCCATGCAAGTTTGATAATGAATTGTATAAATCTTATGGGAGAAGGCAACTCCAGAAGGTAATTTATAAAAGTAATGATTTATAAATAGGAGCTAACCATTCTAAATATGACTTGCAATATGGTTACATTTATTTAAATTGTCATATTAACGTGTTTCAACATCTCTTCTGGTGGTTGTAACCACTATAAGCAATGGCAACAGTGTTCTTACTGAAAGCAATGACTTTATCTTTCTCTCTCTATTGAATCCATAGATTACGAAACTAAAAATAGAAAGAAATCCTTTTGCTAAAGGATTTAGAGATACTGGAAGAAACAGGTAAGCAGCATAGCAATGACATCTAATATTGATGTAGCTAGCTATTTTCACAAGTTTTTTTTTTTTTTTTTTTCCTGAGATGGAGTCTCACTCTGTTGCCCAGGCTGGAGTGCAATGGCACGATCTCAGCTCACTGCAACTTTCACCTCCCTGGTTCAAGCAATTCTCCTGCCTCAGCCTCCCAAGTAGCTAGGATTACAGGCATGTGCCAACAGGCCTGGCTAATTTTTGTATTTTTAGTAGAGATGGGGTTTCACCATATTGGTCAGGCTGGTCCTGAACACCTGACCTCGTGATCTGCCCGCCTCAGCCTCCCAAAGTGCTGGGATTACAGGCGTGAGCCACTGCACCTGGTCCCCCACAAGTTTTAAGGATAAGAAAACTGACTCAGAGACTCAAAAGCTCTAAGTTTTGTAATTAGTAGGTGGTAAGAAAGGAACCCAGATGTTTTGTGTTGAAAACATTACTTCCTCCCACTCCTTTGCTACTCACTATTAAGACCTTGCTTATTTTAGAATTCTAGGTTTGACTGAATTTTATTCAGAAGTCTAGCTATATAAAAGAGAAATATTTAAAATAGTTACATCTGAAAGATATAGCAAAATAACTCAAAATCATTATTTTCAGAAATTGCATTCTGGGGATGCTGAAAGTTGACTCTCTTTTTTAGGGGTGTATTGGATGGGCTTTTAGAGACCTACCCATGGAGGCCTTCTTTCACTCTCGATTTTAAAACCTTTGGCGCAGACACACAAAGTAAGAAAACTTGGAACGTTTGTTTTATTTTTACATATCAATTAAATAACAACATCCGGAACCCTTGTACCAAATACTACACAAGGGGATATGTACATGCAAGAAAATGTGTACTTATGGGTAACTGCGTGTACATTTGCCTGAATGACGAGGTAAGAGGCATAAAGGGAGAGAAGCTGGCATGAAGGAAGAGAATAGAAATGTGATAATTGTAGACTTATTGACATATGTTAATAAGTTATCTTACACCCTGTGATTTTCAGATTTCATCTGGATTTTTCAGCCTCTCACTGTTTCACATTCTTTAGGATATGCCTGTGGTGCATTTGCAGCCTGATTTGCAAATATGTTACTATTGAAATGAATAGTTTATCTTTTATGAGGACCTTTCAGTACATGTTAAAATGACTTTCATTAAATTCATCACTGAGCTCTAATTTTCCTCTTTTTTGTTCATGGGGAAAGTAAATGTTAAAAATAATACTAAGTCTTCACAATTTAATTGCCACAAGCATTTAAAAATATTTGCAAGATATTTATCCTCAGATGGTACATTACATGACAAAATAATAATAATTAAATAATGCAGGCTTTCTGGTGGAAGGATACCTTAATTTGCTCTGATAGTTAATAATAAATAGAATAATTTTTATTTGAAAATGACATGGATTTTTTTTATCCCTTTGTCTTTACTCCATCGAAGTTGCTTGTCTTTGACCATTAATTCAAGGTTACAATTGCCAAGCAAAACCAACATTATAGTTAGGTTGAGTTTTACATGATGCCATAACAACTAACTGAAAAGGGAAGAAGTGAAGTCTAATCATTTGGTGAAATATTTCACTGGAATGGCTGTCTTGATGTGGTTTAGGGAATTGCATGAAAAAAAAAACACTTATTTTACAGTGTCGATTTAACTAATAGCATCTAGAAAGCATACTTTTAAATATCCAAGTCAAAACAAATGTGCACTAATAAAGAAAAAGTTAAAGATGATCATGAAATGATAATTTAAAGTACACAGTTTTCTTAATTATTTAACATATCCAAAATGCTCTCAAATTGCAAATAAATGAGCTACTAGTTTCTTAAATAACTTTTAAATGCTTTATTATAAAAGATATTTGCCATCTTGTTGATGAAGGTTTAGGATACGTCTACATACACAAAATAGTTAAGAAAACAGCAACACTAAAAAAGAAACAACTTGGTCAAATCCAGCCAATAACCAATTGTTTGAATTCAGACATTTACAAAAATAAGCTTTAGAGTTTAGCGTTTCCTGGACCTTATAATTATCCCTAGTTTTAGTAGATGCTAGGCAAACATAAAAAATCAGCAAACGTCATTGATATGAACACTTACATTCATCCTTATATTTCTTAACTTGCAAAATTATTTCCAACTCTTAAGATATAATGCAGTATGGAAATTGCCCCATTCATTGTTTTTGTATAAGAAAAAAAGCTAAGGCTTTTAAATATATTGCTTTCATTTATACAAGACTATTTTCATGTTCACTAATTTTTTAAATCAGTGGTCAGAGGAATTTTTTAAATCAGTGTACCTTTGGTCAGAGGAATTTAAAAAATCAACGTACATGAAATCTATACATTCTATCTATAAACTAAATCTATATAATCCCAAACAACCAATCAATTTGTGCATCTTAACTACTTATTTTAGTAACATTTTAAGGTTTTAAAATAATAAAACTAGTTTGTGTTTGTAAGATATAATTGACGCTAAGTCATAATTGGACTTCTTTGTAATTCTTTGTACAAATGTGGTTCAAGTGCCTAGCACAGTATTTGAGCAAATGAATGCTTAATACATGATACATGGTAGTAGTGCTAAAAGTAATAGTGGTAGTAGTATAGATCAGTGGTCCCCAACCTTTTTGGTACCAGGGGCCAGTTTTGTGAAAGACAATTTTTCCACGAATGGTGGGGGTTGGGAGGGGATGGTTTCGGGATGAAACTGTTCCACCTCAGATCATCAGGCATTAGATTATCATTAAAGGGCACTCAACCTAGATCCCTCACATGCACAGTTCACAATAGAGTGTGCGCTCCTGTGAGAATCTAATGCTGCCGCTGATCTGAAAGGAGGCAGAGCTCAGGCAATGAGGTAATGCTCACTGGCCTGCTGATCACCTCTTGCTGTCCAGCCTGATTCATAACAGGCTACAGACCTGTACCAGTGGGTAACCCAGGCATTAGCGATACCTAGTATAGATACTATATTCAACTTTAGTCAGAGGAATGAGCAGGTCCTGTCTCAAAGAAGCTAAAAGAACTGTGAACTCACAAGGAAAATTAATCTAAGGATGAAGCACAGATAGTGAAGGATATGATTACTAATATTGCAGGAACATCAAATGTCAAGTTCATTATTCATTGGCTGAATTGTCATTCACAGGTGGAAGCAGTGGCTCATCTCCAGTGACCTCTAGTGGAGGGGCCCCCTCTCCTTTGAACTCCTTACTTTCTCCACTTTGCTTTTCACCTATGTTTCATTTACCTACAAGCTCCCTTGGAATGCCCTGTCCAGAGGCATACCTGCCCAATGTCAACCTGCCTCTATGCTACAAGATTTGTCCAACTAATTTTTGGCAACAGCAACCTCTTGTTTTACCGGCTCCTGAAAGACTAGCAAGCAGCAACAGTTCTCAGTCTTTAGCCCCACTCATGATGGAAGTGCCTATGTTATCTTCCCTGGGGGTCACCAATTCAAAAAGCGGTTCATCTGAAGACTCCAGTGATCAGTATCTACAAGCACCTAATTCTACCAATCAAATGTTATATGGATTACAGTCACCTGGAAATATTTTTCTGCCAAACTCCATCACCCCAGAAGCACTTAGTTGCTCCTTTCATCCTTCCTATGACTTTTATAGATACAATTTCTCTATGCCATCTAGACTGATAAGTGGTTCCAACCATCTTAAAGTGAATGACGACAGTCAAGTTTCTTTTGGAGAAGGCAAATGTAATCATGTTCATTGGTATCCAGCAATTAACCATTACCTTTAGTAAGACAATAGCATTTCTAGAACAATTACATGTAAACAAATATTTTCTTTATTTGTAGCCAAAGAAATTTCAACAGTTATTGGGCTTAAAAAGCATCATTACAATACAGTATTTCTTTGTTATACATTTAAAGATTTAAAGTGCCTTATCAAATAATATTCATGAAGAGTTGTTTATAATGTCAAATGAAACCTACAGGAATCTCTGATTACAGTGGCCTTGAGCTTCAAAATGAGATATGCAATAAATATTATTTGATGATACTCCACCAGTGAAAATTGATGCTAAGTGATGGGATTTTCAATTATACTGAAGCTAGTTCACCACGTTAACTGCATTTTACACATTGACAATGACAAAAAGAAGATGGATGTAATTCTCATGAAAGCAGTGAAGCAATTTCAGTTTTAAAAATGAAGATCGGCTTTCATGTAATTATCTAGTAGTTGTAGAAGAAAATTTAATTATTTGTTTGCCTCATGCCTTTATACTTTGCTGTTGAAGAAACTACTAATCTCAATTTAAGATACAAATAAGGACACAAACTTTCAAGTATTATATTTTATTTATCTTTGTAGCCTAAAGACCATTTAATCTTGAAGGAACACAAAGATCAAATGAAAAGTAAAACACTCTAAATAAATTTGCTTTTATTTTCTTTTATTTTTGGATAATTCCTAGATAAAACTTGTTCATTTATTCCTTTAACACCTCTGGTATTTTATACACTATTAGAAAAAAACGTATTATTATAGTTTTGTAAGAAAATAAAGACATTATGATTACAAGAGGGAGAATACATTTGAATCCATAAATATGAAAATATCATTATTCTGGTATGATTTAACTCCACTCTTGTGTGTCAATCATAGTGAATTAAACTAGACAAAAGTAGAATAATCTTTTATTTAAGTTTATGAAGTTGAAAAGTTTCCTTTCACCAGGCCCTAAATTTCTGAAAATAATTATGAGGTATAACCTATATACAGCCTGTATATCTTTAAGATGAATCAGATTTTGAGTTTTATGCTAGTAACTCTAGACATTTTATTAAGCCAAGCCCTTTAATATCACAATGGAATGACTTGACTTTTGACAAACTAAGCAAACTGCTAAACTGATTTTTCTAATTTTTCCAACACATATAAAGAACAGCATATTAATTATTTATTCTGCTCAAAATGATTATTTCATCTCAAATATGCCTTATAAATGTGCCTTCCTCTATATGTATTAAAATTATCCCCACTCCTGGGAGTAGGGATAGGATGCCACATGATTGCATTCAAATTAAGTATTCTAGTCAAGATGAAGTATTATTTGTGATCTAATGTAATTAGATACTGTTGCAAAAGTCTTTAAGGAATAAAATGTATACTACCCAGGTTTATTAAACAAGAAATTAAAATAAGAAAAGACATTTTATTTTTGTCTACTCCAAAACAGGAAAGCTAAAGGCTAACTTTAATTAGTAAAATGGATTGTTACTTTTTCAGCAGAAACCCTTATATCAGATTATAAATGAAACATTCGGAGGTCTACATGGGAGAACATCAGTAATTGGCAAGAGAAAGTATTTAACTGAAAAATCAAAGAGATATCTGGGTTACTTTTTAGTGACTATTTAAAAGAACGGATTAATTTTGGAGCTTCTCCAGAATACATATACCCTATGCTGTATGTTTCAGATAATATGACTATATATTACCTATATACAACTACTAATATGTAATTACATTGGTAATTACATTGGTAATGGTGATTAACATAAAGGGGAAAACGTTTAAATACAAGAAGGTAAACATTTATGTTTAGCTACATTAAATAATATTCATAAATTGTCATTTTGTAGTTTTAATTGAAGAAGGAAACAAGGGAAAGCCTTCATGGATAATTAGACTTGGAAGAAACCTCAAGAGATTCAGTAAGTAGTCCCCTGCTTCTAAGTAAGTGACTCATTTGCAGAAATCTTCTAACAGCTCTAATTAATGCACAGTAAATATTTAGTGCCTTCAACCATTTTTTGTTTAATAAATTCTTACTCCTCAACGGATGGTGCAAAATTTGAGTAACTGGGTAAATTGATGCTATGGTTATGAAATGAAAAACAAAATAATGTGTAATTCTATCACTTTCACCTGCATCAGCTAAAAGTTAGACTTGCTTTAGAAATCTACAAAAATACAAAGCCACTCTTGTTGGACTAAGTGTGAAATAGCTGATAAAAGTGGCCAAATGATACTTAATAGACCCCCAAATCTAACAATTAAAACCTCTATTTCCATCTGATTTGACCATACATATATGGGCACCACTTCTTTTTATATTCCTCCTTAATTCAGCTCACTAAATTTATGAAATCTGATTCTTAACCTGACCTGGTTATATGACTTACCACAAATAAATATAGGGAAAGTAAGCATTTCATTAACTCTGTGAAATTTGTATGTTGAGTCAGAAAATAAATGAATGGTACTTTACCCTTGTACAGTCCCCAGTGAGGCTCAGACCTGTAGTCAGATTCTCTGGTCAGGAAGGTATTATTTTGTGGAACCATCAGTCAAGCTGAAATCAAGGACTTAAAGTATGAGCCTGGTTACAAAACACATATCTAAGTAGATAAATTCTCTATTCATTACACTTTAAAGACCAATATATAGCTTTAGGTAATATAATTTAGACATCAAACTCTAATACTATTATTTCTTTTCACCCACAGGGGGGTTAAGCCCTCTGGAAATTACATTTTAAAGTATCATATATAACCTTATGTTACATAATTTTAGAGCCTTCAAACTCACATATATCATTGCTCCTATTCATTGTGCTCGAAAATGAGGAGGTTTATTTTCCTCAGTTTATGAAGACAGATACTCATGATATTTCACTGCTATTAAACATAGGTTCTACACATACTCTGGGAATGGAATAGACCTCATTCTTTTGTGAGGTTGAAGCATGTCTGTGGGATGAAAAGAGATGAAAAATTAAATCAGCAAGTGATGATTCAGTGAACCATTCCATTATGGAAGACTTCCCTTTTATTCTCCTAATCATTTTTTATTATGCACCCTAGGAATAAGCCGTGGCTCACATAAACCAGGTGATACATATATTTTAAGTATTACTGGTGTAATGCTGAACAAGAACATGACTGAAACAAATGTTTTGTATAAGTATTTAAAATATATTTTACAATAAAATAAAAAATATATTTTACAAAGGTCTACAAACATGCTAATTACAAAATTTAGATGCTTTAAGATAATCAAATTATATGTATACAGTAGGGTAGTAGGCGGTCATTATTTCTTTACTAAATCTCACTAACAAATCTCTTCCTTATCTGAATATGCAGTTTGATAAATTCCAGATGTCACACTGTAACGTGTGTGTATACACACACACACACACATAGAATCGGTGTTTTAGTTTTGTTTTGTTATTAAATAATTTACAGTGTTCTGCTTTTTCTCCCACCCCTCCCTAATAAGAGATGCTAAAAAGAACACCTAGTCGTTACATACTTATGCTATTAGTTATAGATACTTTTGGGGAAAGGCAAATTTAAACACACGTAGAAATGTCCAACTGCATGTACTGTACTTTATGAATTGAATTGGCAGGGTGAGAGTATAATATTTTTACTCAGATTTAGAGATATGTTGCATTTGTGCTGAAAAATTTTTAATTAGCCAAAGTAACCATAATATTGTGTTATAAAGCAACAGTTTACCAATTGACTTCACTAGAATTTAGCATGTTTATTGGAGCAGTTTAAAACCAACCAAATACATAGCTTAGGCAGTTGCTTTCATATAAATGCCTTGGTATACATTTAATCTTCTTAAGTTTGGCCTGCAATTAAATGATAATTTGTATTAAAACTGTGCAAATAAACATGGGTTTGTTGACAACATAAAACAGAACAAATAGATACACAGAACACTGGAAACATATTCAGTATTAAAACTATTTACATGTGTGGTGCTGGCCAACTTTTGACATGCTGTTTCAATAAAATACTGACAGGAAAAAGACTAGAATAATTTCCTTTCAAAGTTTCAAATGTTCATGTTTACAAATTTGTACTGCATATTGATATGTATACATGCATTATAGTCAGCAGATGTACAAAAATGGTTACAGGATCTTTCTACTTAGCTGAAATGTATCTACATGTCTATTGGCTTTATCTTTTAAACTGCCTGAGAGTCACAAATTTTAAAGTTAAATAGAATAGAAAACCTTGAAATTATAGTACTTTTTGATCAAGTTATTATATTTTAATTGTTGTTAAAAGTGGCAGAATTTTGATTTTGGATTGAAGGTCACATACTTATGCACATGATAAAGTATAACGTAATATCTTGGTTGTAGAGAATGGTATAAATAGTTCAAATTTTTACTAGAACTGAAAAGTAATAAAATCATGAGTTTACAATGATTGAAGGTTAATGTATTTAAAGATTTTTTATTGAATACATAATTCAGTCTATCTTTCATTTTTATGATCATTTTTTAGAACATGTTGATGTTTTAGAACTTTACAATTATTTCAATTTTGCCTGAAATTGCGTTTTCACCATTTCCTTTGTGACATAAAGATTTTGTGACCTTTCTACCAATTACACTGTCTAATCAGACTGATTTTCTTCTTTATTGATAATTGTAAATTATAGAAAAAAATTACTTAATAAAAACACCAACAAATAGATTACTTTTTGGAAGAGTCATTGGTTTCTCAGTAAGACCCAAGTTGAAGTAGAAAAGTTACTCACTGCTGTACCTATGCTAACATTGTATTTGGTTTTCTTTAAAGGGAACCCATACACAAGCCAAACAGTGTTTGTTACATTAGTAGCTATGTTTTGCAAAATTCAGATTGGATCCTCTTCAAATCATGAGAAAGAACTGTTTAGCAAAAGTATAATGATTTTGCAACCTGTCACCATGATACTTTTCTATAATTGTATATTAATGAGGCAATGGTGACGATGGGGCGTCACATTTCAAAAGGCTCTGCAGGCTCTCGCACCACATATATATGGCATTAGGATAAACTAATCCACTGTTTGCACTCAAGTGTTGTAGCCAAATTCAGCAGGCCTCTGGGTGCGATTAATCAAGGCTGTTGCCCCTAGCCCTTGGGTAGGCAAGATACAGCGTCTTCCAGTGGGTAGTTGGGGTTGAATATCCCAGCTGATGCTAACAAAGGCCTGATGCTTCACATACACATACATATTATGCTATATTTTAGTTTAGTTATTCATATGCATGTTTCTTCTACTAGATTGTGAGTGAAGGAGGAACAGTATTTTTTATTTTTACTTATTTTTTAAGAATAATTTCACCTTTTATTTTCGATTCAGTGGGGGTACAGGTGTAGGTTTGTTATCTGGATATATTGCATAATGCTGAGGTTTGGGGTATGATTGATCCCGTCACCCACGTACTGAGCATGTTATCCAATAGCTAGTTTTTCAACTCTTGCCTCTCCCTCCTCTAGTAGTCCCCAGTGTCTATTGTTGCCATTTTTATGTCCAAAAGTACCTATTGTTTAGCTCCCACTCATAAGTGAGTAAACGTGGTATTGAGTGTTCCATTTCTATGATAATTTGCTTAGGATGATTACCTCCAGCTGCATAAATGTTGCTGCAAAGGACATGATTTCATTCTTTTTATGGCTGCATAGTATTTCATGGTGTATATGTACCACATTTTCTTTATCCAATCCAGAGTTGATGGGCAACTGGGTTGCTTCTATGTCTTTGCTATTGTGAACAGCACTGCAATGAACATATAAGTCCATGTGACTTTTTGGTAGAATGACTTGTTTTCTCTTGGATATATACCAAATAATGGGATTACTGGGTCAAATGGTAATTCTGTTTTAAGTTCTTTGAAAAATTTCCAACCTGATTTCCACAGTGGCTAAACTAATTTGCCATTCCTATCAACAGTCTACAAGTATTCCCTTTTCTCTGCAGCTTTGCCAGTAATTAAAAAAAAAAAAACTTTAGCAGAATTAAATTTAAAGTAATTTCATTGAGCAATAAAAAATTCGTGAATTGGGCAGCCTCCTGAGCCAGGGTAGGCTCAGAGACTCCAGGGCAGCCACGTGGTGGAAGAAGATTTATGGACAGAAAAAGGAAAATGACATACAGAAACAGCTGGGTTGGTTACAGCTCGAGGTTTGTCTTATTTGAACATGGTTCAAAGAGTTGGCAACATTTGATAGGCCAAAACTCGGTGATTGGCACAAGTGTAGGCTATGGTCTGTTTACAATTCCACTTGTTATAGTTCATGATGTACAGAAAAAATTTTAGGCAGAACTTAAAATGTGTAAGGAGGCAGCTTTAGGCTAATCTTGATTTAACAATTCCCCCCTTTTGGTCATCTTCTCAATTTTGAGAGATTGACCAAAACTTTAGTCATTGATGTCACTTTGATGTCATTGACCAAAACTTTACTCATTGATGTCCAAGAGTGTGAAGGGGCCCTTCTCAATTGTGAGTTTATAAACTGAGTGGGTTTTGTAAGGTAGGAGCAAAGACTGTACCTTCTTATGCTCAAACATCCCGTTTACAGGAGAAAAACAAAACCTGATATGTTTTTGCATCTATGTGTTTTCTTAAAGTCTAAGTTTGATCATGCAACATTTAACATGAGTGACTCCATTTTTCTTTGATCTGGTCTGTTGGGGCATAGTGCATGAGCTCACTCCAAAACAATGGCCTCCTATAATTTTGTTTATAAATTTCTCCTTTCTAGTTGGGTTCTCACTTAGGTAAGAGTTTGACCAAACCTTAGGGCCTTAGTGCCACCCTTAGTTACCATTATTTTCAGTTTCTGGCTTTAGCACATTATTTATAGGTTATGGTGCTCTCGTGGTTACACATTTTTTTCAGCTTTTGTTACTCCAGTTGAAGAGAGACCATTTGACATTTTAGAGATGGCTGCATGCAAACATTTAAAACTTTGGAGAGAATAGAGCGCACCAGGGAGACTACTCTGATGTCTATCAGGAGGATAATACCAAGAGTTTGGAGTATGCTTCATACCCAAGGTCCCCATAAACTAAAATCACCTAAAATTTGATAGATTAATGAATAAGCTAGATAAAAGGACTACTCGCTTAACTAAGCAGTCTTCTTGTTAATCCCCTACAACTGAATCTTTATAAT